>NC_000015.10:20532279-20689304 GCF_000001405.40 Homo sapiens | reverse complement strand
GAATTCCTAGATAATGACACATACTTTATGCAGTTAAAGTTTAAGTTCCTATACTTCTAATTAAAGATTGGGTATTTAATGATGACAGTTCTTTTTGCCTTTGTATGCATTCACAATTCTTTTTGTTACTTTATTGAAGGACCAAAAGTACTTCTTACATATATGATTCTTGCTTATTCATTCTAAGGTGTGAAATAGCCTTTGAGGATAGGGGAAGGGAACTGAGCCATGACTGCTTTCCCTGGTTTGGGTGGGTGGGGTGTAAGATGTAGAGGCTGGAAAGATCTTAAGCTTTTGACTTCTTCAGTGCTGAATTCCTCAATGTGGAGAGCACTGTACCATCTGCTTTAAGCAGCAGATTATAGTCTTATTGTGTGTTTCGTTCTGTGTAGTTCCTACTCACACACGAGCGGGGATTTATTTTCTTTGTGTGTTTTACTAAATATGGAGGAGTAGAGGAATAGATTCATAATTTCAAAAATAAAGTTGAATTTAAAAAATTAGACCCTATGTTTTCATGATTACATTTTGGAATAGTCATTCCCTTGATTCAGATCAATCTCTATATATGGATCATTATACATCATGACAGTTTTAAATTATTTTAACGTTTGTAAATAAATAAATATAAGCTATTTTGCCTTTAACTATAATATTTGAAAAGTAAGTCGGAAGACTGAGTAGGTGGCTATTGTTTTGTTTGCTTAAATGTAAGTGTAAAACATGTAATTGGTCATTTTTCCCAAAAAACTTGACTGGCATTTATTATTTAAATAATAAAGTCTTAATTGATGCTTTCTTCTATTATTATTGTTATATTTTAAAATATTCCTAAAGGCCGATTTAAGGATTTAAACCTTTTCATCATTAAAAATAATGCATTTTTAATGACTTTTAAAAATAGAGCTATGACAAGTGCTTTCGTGGTTCATCAGAAACTGCTGATGCAAATAGCGTATTCTGTGCTCAACTTGTTGCCGTTCAGTGAAGCACTCAACCCAGCACAGATATTTGCAATTCATCAGTTAGGACCTAGATATAAGGTAGTAATAACTGTAATTTTATAAATTCTAGAGAGCGTTTTAGATGTAAAATGTGATGTAATATAACTTTTAGTGAAAATCTTTCTTTAATACAGTTTAAGAGTCATTTCTATTTTTTGGAATGTAGTCAGTTTTTATTATATGTTTCTTTTCGGTTCAAAGGTGCTTTTTTCTCAACTCTTTTCTCTTTATAAACTTTTTTATTCTTCAGAATATTTTCTAATATTGATAGCATGCCTTTTAACAATTCTGAAATAATCTTATAAAACTGTTTTGCTTAATGTAGTATTTAAAATACAAAAATTTGAAATATATATTACATAATGAACATAATAAAGAACTTGTTAATATTACTGGTAACTTGGAAAGAAGAGTTAAAGATTTAGAAGGAATCTAAGATAATATATTTCATGGGCCTGAAATTATTTAATTTTAGTTTATATTTTTGCTTTAATTGCAGTGAGGAAGTAGGTACAGTAGTGAGTAAACTAATTTAGCAAAACTAATTAATGTAATTTATCATTCTTTCTGTTTTTTAAACTTTAAGAACAAAGACTAGGTAAGATAACAGCATGCACGTATATGAGTTAGTTTTAAATGTGCGGTACACCTGGCTAGGGGAACATATAAGGGTTCTGTTTAAATCACACTGGGAATTGTGAAGTCTCAAACTACTTAGAGCTGAAAGAGAATTACACATTATAGTCAAAGTGTTTATAATTCTGAAGGAGTACTTGTCTTGTACGGAAGTGTGGTTTTTTTATTGAACTCAATTTAATTAATGTGAAGATTGTGTAATGGAAAGGAAAAACATAAAAAAATTCCCTCTTTGGCCTCTGTATTTTTGCATTGGTATTTCTGTTTTTATTTTTGTCATATATATATATACATATATATACACACACACACACACACACACACACACACACACACGGATATATATATATAGAGCGAGGGAGGAAAGTTTGAATTTACCCATATTAAAAGATCTTTTTTTCTCAGTGACTTTAATAACCATGATAATATTGAAGGATAATAATGCTATTATTTTTATGTCAAGGTAACAATACTTGCTATCATATATTTTCCATATCATTTTTGTTTTTGTCCTACTAGCTCTAGAAATGAATTTGTGCTTGTCCAGCTACTTTTTCTTTCATGGGTCTTTTTGTCGAATTTGCATCCTGGTTCTGCCATTGCTGATCTTGCATAGGAACATTTTTGTAATTCACATTTTTTATTAATATGCTGCCTGCTTTTCTTTTCTACTTCTTTGAGTTGTTTCATAAAATGCTTGCAGTATCTTTTTAAGCTCTAATAGAATGATATTAAATAGAGTGACAAGCAAACAAATGAAATATAAAAAGGTAGAGTATCAAGAAAATACAAATCCAATATGATTGCTAATGTGAAATTTCAGAATTGATGGGAGCTTCCTGGCAACATCAAGGAAAAGGGCTGAATATAAGCAATTTTGTAATTCTTCTATTCACAGAGAAGCAAACTTTGTCCTGAACAGCTTTGCAATCTCTGTAGTTTGTAGTATTCTTTTCACACGTCTTTCTCGTCATTCTTTTTAACAACAGTGATAATGAGCAGTAACCCGGTCATCATACGTGCACAGCTCATGTGACGTAGTGTATCCTTAATATCCTAACACACAGTGTAGAGTACCTAAAGTCAGAACTTTTAAGAGAGATACCTGTAAATTTGGGCATTACATCAGAGAGTATTTTTTTAAGTTTTGAAAGTTCTCAGCTTACTGCACCCCTTGTTGTTAGTGGGGGTTGATAAAGCCACAGGTACATGCATTTCCTCAATTTGTAAATAGTATAAGTACAATTGCACCATGACAGGCATCAGCAAAAATTTTTTATATTAAAAACCTTTTTTTTTTTTTAGAAATTCAGAGAACATAGAGAAGGAGGAATGCAAATGATCAGATTGTGTTTTGACAGAAGAAAAGCTGAGTAGTTCACACATAGTCAAAATTATCTTGCTAAAGTCACTCTCTGTGAGTGAAGGGGGGTAGAGGGCTACAGCGGAACTTTTAAGGTGTAGAGAATATAATTAACTAATGGACATTTGGATAAATCACAAAATGGAGTTTAAGTTACTTAGTGTTGTATAATAACTTAGTATTTATATTTATTGCCTTCAGTTATATGGAACTTTCATTGTAATGGTCAGACAATATTTATGATTCTGAGCTTAGTGTAGATAGCATGTCAACATATGGGCTTCAAAATTAATAAAATAAGTTAATTCTACCTTCAAATAATGCCATCAAACTATATATTCAATGGAGCCTGTCACAAATGATTTTGACTTGTTGGTCACTGTAGTGCTAGGTAAATTTTTTTCTGTTGATATTTGGTTTTGAGCATTGCAGCTTATCAGTATATATTCTGTACTTGGTTATTTTCTGGAAACAGTAAATAAGTTAGGGTATCACTTATTAACTAAATAAACCGTTCATTTTGGAAAATACAGAAATACAGAAAATATTTAAAATAACAGAAAATCTCACTGTAGATTTGTCTAGTATAGTAAAATTTACTGCCAGATAAGTTTACAGTGGCTATTTGGGGTTATTTAATGTCTTCAAGATTGTGTATGAGGTGGCCCTTTGACATAAGCTTGCAAATCAGATTTTAACAAAGTTTTTATATTTTATAATTATTACTAGACATTTTCTCATTGTTCTGTTAATCCCGTGTGGCAAGCAGTTAGTCTTCATGGCCAGATATTTGAAAATTTAGCTTTGAGTTCTCTCCTTCATTTATGAATATGATAGTATAATAGTTTTTATAATTTGCTATATCATAAAGAAGTTCTAACTGATAAGAGAAAAAGTATAACACAACCTCAAATTAAAAATCACTTCAGAGGATTTCTGATACTTGTATAGAGGGGTGAGCTCCTAACAAACTGATCTTCTCAAAAATAACCATTTGTAAACTCTGCACATAATATAGATAACATCTATCTGAGGATTGTGAAGATTGAATAAAAGCAGGCGAGGGTAGTCAAAATATGGAACAGTCAGTCTGCATGGACTGATATCCCCATTTTTTGCTTTTATAGGAAACTTTCTGGCCAGAAAGTTTCTCTACAGTATTGTACAGAGTAATAGTCACACTATTTAGCATATAATCCAAAAGTACTTATTCTAAAAATGGTCAGGAAAATGTGACTTATTCTCAAGGGAAGAGAAAATCATCATAGACCAACTCTAAGATAACCCACATGTTGGAAATATCACATGAGGTCTATTGTAGCATATGGTTTAGCCCTTTCTAATGTTGAACTGTGAAGGAAATTAACTCTTAGAACTTACTGTGAGTTTTTTTGTGTCACTGAAAATTATCTTGGATGCAAAATTGTTTTGGGTGTGGAATTGAATTGATTAATGTACAGTGAAGTCAATTTCTGCTATGATCACTTATTTAGGAAGAGTTTTGTAGTGAGAGAAATACTATAGAAACTGTGATATTAAATATTTTACGTAATTTTAATCATCTTTTAAAATATTTCACTGTAATTCAGTCCTAAATTAGGCTTAAGAGATGAAACGTTTTGAAAATGTCAAAAGATTTTTCCCCCTTACTGATAACCGTAAATCCGATTTGAAACTTAATCTACTTGATTACTTTGCAACATTCTTTTAAAAGTGGAGGAGGTATTGGATTTTAGGGGGGGAATCTTTACTTTTTACGTAAGTTATTTCCAGTCTTCTTAATAAAAAGATCTTTATTTAAAAAGCCAATCTAGCTGTGGTACTTTGCTTTTTCAGTAAAAACCAAATTGAATAGCCAGTTTATGTCTTCAGAGAGCTACCTTTGAACAGAACTTAGGTTTATATATTCACTCTTAATCATTTTAGTTATGAATTAGGTGTATCTTTATGATATATTGAATTCTAAATAATAAAAGTACCTCAAAAATAATAAAACTTCATGGATCACATTACATGAGTTATATCTACATTAGTTATTTTAAAAAATTAAATACAAATTGAAATGGATAAAGTTATAGTAAAATAAGTCAAAATCTATATTTAAATTTTAATGGCATATAAATATATGTATATTATAAACAGGTTAGTTATGTTTTTATACATAGTTAATAAATATTCTCAGGTATTTGTGGGCCAAGACTGTTGTGGCATTCTTTATCAATAAAGGCCAAAAAGCTCTGGAGAAATAATAAATATGCTAATTTACAAGAGGTATTATTATGCTATTTCTTTCATTTTTTTCCCATGGTCTAACCCTTTACGATCTGATACTTGAAATAAACATTATTTTCTAACAAATTAAGCTTATTAAGAATTACAAGATGGTAATTATTTTTAAGAAAAAACACCCACTAGATTATTAGCATCATTTTCCTTAAAAAGATACAGGATTACAAACTCTCATCCATTCCTGAAGTAGAATTGCTACTTATAGAACATGTGTTATAGTACTGTCTGTTGAAAAGTTGAGCAATTACATATCATGACATAATAATCAGCATACTTTTGGTCTATAAAATAAAATACTCCTCTGAAAATCTTTTCCTAGGTATTGATATAGTTTTCAAGAGAGTGTTCTATGTTGTATTAGTTTTGGCTGACACCAGTACTTGCTTTTTGGTTTATCCTGGAGTATATATTTAGATCCTCTGCAGATGAACTGATGCGTTCTAGACAGGAAGTTGTATGTAGGAGATATAGGAATGGGCTGAAGTATCTTTTATATTTGCCTTTGTATCTAGGGAAGTTGGAAATAGGCAAGAATGGAGAGAAATTTTGTATGGCAGTACACAGAATTTTGCAAGTTTATTGTGAGCCCTGCAACAATCCGATGCATTTTAGTTCCTGGTAAGTTTGTTGAATTATGTTTGAAAATGTACCTCTTCGAAGATGGCCATCTATTTACTATTACGTCCACCATGTCAATTATACCTTATTGTAAAGATTTTTTTTTTTTTTGCAAAGATGTGGTATTGCTATTGCATTGGGTTTTAGGTATAAATTGAAACTACCTTTGTTAGTGAATGCATTTGACATTTCAATTGGTGTCCTAGTTAATGTTGAAGTGAAATTAATACTTCATGGATAGCAGAGTCTTGTTAAGATTTTGGAATAATAATATTAATATTTCAGTTTTTATAATAGGGCTCCACTGTGTTTAGAGGTCTGAGTTAACTCATTAGATATTTGAGAATGAGTAGTTATTCTGACATAAAAGAATGAGAAAATCTGTGTCATCCTTGCAATTGTATATGGTTCTATATAGTAGGGTGATTTACTGTAAAATACTTTTTTGCCTTTTTTCATGGATCATAAGGACCACTGTGAGGCATTTCTAGTCTTTCTTTTTGGCAGTGCTCATGTTTAGGAATCCATTTTCCCTCAATCACTAACTTTGGTGTATGTAAGAATTCTATGAACAGATTAGGAAATTGTGTAACCTCTATGCATGGTTTTCTTTATTCTTTTTACACATCTAGGCAGATGTGTTATGTGTAATATAGTACTTAGCAATTATTTGTGAAGTGGCCTTGACTATTCAATTCATTTAAAATGGACTAGATTGCTTAATAGCTGTGCTTCTTTACAGAAACGTTTTTTAAAATCCCAAGAGACTCATTGGTAGTTGTAGTTTTCTTGTAAGTGTCTATCTTTGGCTTAAGGACAAAGTAAAAAAAAAATCATTGATATGTGATAGTTTACATTTTTTGTGGTTTAAGGATATAGGGTCAGTTAATATAATTGAATTTTAATTTCCTATAATGAAGTACTTTATTTCTGGATACTATATTTTGTCTAGCTGATATGTAATTCATTAAACTATCAATTTTTATAATAATGACAATGATAATTTTGCTGTTGGTTCTTGTTATGAGAACATTTCTGATTTGAACAAAAGTAGCCACATTATGAGAAAAATACATTATCCCTATTGAAACTGGAAGAGCTAGAATAATTCAAAAATTAGAATAACTTCAGATTCCTTTCGGGCTTTAATAATTTTCAAGTTTTCCTTATTACCAAATTGTCTGAATTACTTGTAAGAATGAGTACTTCTGCATTTAAAATATGTTTAGAAATTTGTGGTTTTACCCTTTCTTATGAATATAAATAGGTAATTTAGGGTATATTATAAAACATTGTAAATTGATATTCTTTTAATTGTTGATAAAATCTGGTATATAACAATTTATTATGAGCTACATTAAGCATATACAGTGAAGGAATATGTATTTCCATTATTCAGAATACTATATTCATATATCAGTGTTGCTGGTTAAAATCATTATATGTAACTATGAAGTAATATATTATCAAAGCTTAATTCAATGCAGTCTTTCTATTTTGTTTCTTCATTCATTCCAAAGACATACCAAGTGCTAAATCTTTGACGCCTCTTTGTCTGCCTTTATGTATTTGTTTATATACTGTGTAATTGTCACTTTTCATTTCAATATTACATAAATCATTTCTTTGCTCTCATGAGCTTTTCTTAGGGCATACCTGGACATAAGTGACATGTTACATATTCCTCTGGATTTTTTTTAACAAAGTGTTTTTGAAGAATAGTTCTAAATGAAAAGTTTATTTAAAAATAGGGCTTGTTCTTACAAAGCAATATTGCATCTATATTTAAAATTCTCTACAATAGCTTGTTATTCAAAAGAATAGTATGATACAGTCTTTATTATGGAAAATGATATGTGTATGTTTCTTAGGTTTACTTGAAGCCAGACCTATAAATATATGTAGCGATAAACTTTGATGTTTTACTTTGGAATGTAAAAAAACTACACAGTTATGATTCAGTTTATTATATTTAATTTGTAAAGGACAACACTAGTTTTCTCATGCTTATCAGGAAATATATTCTTTCATAATATAAGGCATAATAGTCATTGTCAATAAAATAGAGATTAGATTTGAATATGGTTATCTCTTGGCATAATAAAATACTGAAATGGAGCACTGTGTTTAGAATAAACGTGATGATTACATAATGATATCTGTACTTTACATGCAGTGCTACTCTTTCGGCATTCCTGGTTGAACTACTTAAAAGTTCAGTAGCCATGCAAGAACAGGTGCTGGGTGGAAAAGGCTTTTTAGTTATTGGCTAATTACTTGAAACGGTAGGTGATGTGTTGATGGTTTTATTGTGTAGCCTCACAGTTGGACAGCTGACAATCACTAATTATATTTTTTCTATAATTTCACTTTCCATTGACTGTGTAGAGATTATACTATTTGCTAACTCACAAACATCTTAGATTTAAGTGTAGACATGGAATTAACTGGGTATTGGAAGCATAATTAAATTTTGAATTAAAAAACTAAAGAAAAAAATTTCATCTATATCTATTCAAGCAATAAGTATCATTTAAGTTTTTCTATAGTAGTACCCCTTTATTTCTACTCTCTCTTTCTAAGGTGTCACTTACCCATGGACAACTGCAGTTCAAAAATATTAAATGGAATAAACAATTTATAACTTTTAAATTGTGTGCTGTTCTGAGTAGAGTGATGAAATCTCGTACTGTCTCTCTTCATCAAGTCCGGACATGAATCCTCCTTTTGCTCAGCTTTTTCATGCAGTATACACTGTCTTCCTATTAGTCATTTAGTAGCTATCTCAGTTCTCAGACTGAAAATCGTATATATCATCCACTAGGGGTCTTGGAAGCATCGCCTCCGGATAAGAAGTGAGTACTGTAGTTGTTTCTTTGCTATCTTTTCACTTAGACTTTTTTTTTTATTTTTTATTTTTTTTGAGACAGTGTCTCACTCTGTCTCCCACACTAGAGTGCAGTGGTGCGATCTTGGCTCACTGCAACCCCCACCTCCCGAGTTCAATCAAGCAATTCTCCTGCCTAAGCCTCCCTAGTATCTGGGATCACAGGTGCGTACCACCATGCCTAGCTAAAGTTTTGTATTTTTAGTAGAAACAGGGTTTTCCCCACGTTGGCCAGGCTGGTCTTGAACTCCTGATCTCAAGTGATCTGCCCACCTCGGCCTCCCAAAGTGCTGGGATTACAAGCATGAACCACTGCGCCTGGCCTTAGACTGTTTCTTGAAAGTCTTTTTTATTAAGATAAAAATCTTTATATTTAGTATACATGGATTTACCTGTTAGGTTTTGTGTTATTTTTTAATTATGCGGTCAAAATTTTTATTTTGTAGTAATAGAAACATTATTTTGTGCTCTTTTTCCCTACTCTTAATATATATGACTATTTAAAGTAGTTTTTTTCATCTATACATAGTATAAACAATAAAAATTAGATGGGTTTACATTTTCCTATTTTGTGTCATTTATGTTGTTTTATGACCTCTTTTGCTTTAGTCACAGCTGTGCTTTTATGAGTGCTGAATTTCTGATTATGATCTCACAAGAGTTTAGTTGTATCATGTGATTTCCTTTAAAAATTAGTGAGATTTCATGAATAAGCGTTTTTTTATTTTTTATTTTTTTAGTATTTATTTATTTTTTTGAGACAGAGTCTCGCTGTCGCCTGGGCTGGAGTGCAGTGGCGCGATCTCGGCTCACTGCAACCTCCGCCTTCCGGGTTCACGCCATTCTCCTGCCTCAGCCTCCCGAGTAGCTGGGACTACAGGCGCCTGCCACCACGCCCAGCTAATTTTTTTGTGTTTTTAGTAGAAACAGGGTTTCACCGTGTTAGCCAGGATAGTCTCGATCTCCGGACCTCGTGATCCGCCCGCCTCAGCCTCCCAAAGTGCTGGGATTACAGGCGTGAGCCACTGCGTCCAGCCAGCATGTTGTGGTTTTTTTTAATGACAAATACCTGTGCCCTTTATTAGCACTCTCAAACCTCTTATCAGTTAGTTAACTCTATAATATTCAGCTGCTCTGAAAATGAGACTATTTGAAAAGTAATAGAAGTGAGATCTCAACTAAGGGATAAACATACATTTCCTCTGGAAAAAAATTGAGAACATACTTTGAAGCAGTTTTAATTTTACCTCCAATTGTTTTACATTTGAAATGTTATCAGTTGATTAATGGACAAACAAAATGTAGTGTATACATGCAATTGAATATTATTTAGTCACAAAAAGAGTCAAGTTCTAAAATATGCTATATTTTATATATTACATGTCTTTATACATATATATGTTATATATATAAAAAATATGTCTTTGAAACTAGTGCTGACCTTTCCTTAAGGATTAAGCATTGAAGAGTGGTAGATTGTTAAGATTGATCATTGGTAGCATTTCTTTATTGAGATGATTTTTTCCATAACATTATTAAGAACTTAAGGCTCTTTGGTTTATTTTTTAAAATAAGAGAATACTCTTTTTCTGTATCTAGAGTATTAAGAATTGTTTAGAAGATGTATGATAAGCTACATTTAACATGAATTCGATAACATATGAAATGCCTTTGTAAGATTACTGTGTGTGACAGGATTTCTGTGAGGACTTACCCCTTTAAATGTGCTTTCATTTGTTTACTTGAGAATGTATCAGAAAATCCTAAATTAAACATTCTTTTACTTAAAACTTAGCTTATAATTAGAAATATTTGTAAAAGCCTTCAAATAAAAATGTATGTTAATATTTCATATTATAATGTCAATTTAGTGGATGCAAAATATTATTTCATTGTGGTTTTAATTTGCACTTTTCCTAGATTTTGAATAAGATTAGACATTTTCATATATAATTATGGAAAATGAATATTTTATCTTCTTTGTTATTCATTTCCTTTACCAATTTTCCCTATATCTCTTCATGATTCCCACCCCTAGTCAATCCATAATTCACTTTTTGGCTTTATGAATTGCTTATTCTAAATATTTCATGTAAGTGGGATCATACAATATTTGTCTTTTTGTATTTGGTCCATTTTGCTTAGCATAATGTTTTCAGTGTGCATCCATGTTATAGCATATTTTTTTTCATTCCTTTTTATTGCTAAGTAATATTCCAACAGTATTTTAATTTGTATAGCTTTTTAGTGCAGCCTGATATTTAAGAGTATGTCATCTAGCTTTACTGTTGTTCTTGACGATTGCCTTGGCCATTTCTGAGTCTTTGCATTTCCATATATGTCAGCTTATCAACTTCCACCAAAAAACATGAGGATTTTTATTGTATTATATTGACATCTTTCCTATATTGAATCTTTCAAGTCATATACTTGGTATATTCTTTTATTAATTTAGATTTTCTTTTGTAGTTTTCTGTATAGAACAGTTTCTGTCTTTTTGATGGATTTATTTCCAGATATTTGATATTATTTGATGCCCTTAAAATTTTAATTCTTTGCACTTGATCTTACCCAAAAGGCCAAGAAGCAATTAAAAGTTTTGATTTTTAATTTGTTACTGGTACATAGTATTATAATTGATATTTATGTTGAACTTTTATATACCAATCTTTCTATTCCTCTATTAAATCTAGTCATTTGTAGATTTTTTTCAAAAAAAATTTTGTAGACAATAATAACATCGGAGAATGATAGTTTTGTTTTTTCCTTTCTAATATTTATTTTTTTATTTTTTTCCTTGCCTTGTTATGCCACCTAAAGACTGCCAGTACAGTGTTGAATAAAAGTTGTGATAGTGGCCATCCCTGTCTTATTCCTGATCTCATGGGCAATGCTGTTAATAATTAGACACTAAGTATGATCTTTTTAATAATTAGTTTTTGTAGATTTTTTAGTTAAATTAAGGAATTATCTATTTCTATTTTTCTAAGAGTTTTCTTTATTATAAACAGGATTTTATCAAACATCTTTTCTGCAGTATTTGAGATGAGTATGATGTTTCTCATTTTTCTTAGTGAATTACATTGATTATTTTTCAGATTTTAAACCTTCCTTATATTCCTGGACACTCACTTACTCCTAAATCTATTCCTATTCCAACCTGTCTTTCATTCTTCCATGTCCTTTCAGATGGCTCATGTCTTTGTCACCAGTGGCCTTCACAGTCTGTCCTGTGATTATTTCTCAGTCCTTATCTTATTCGACCTGTGAATATTTCGGTTGAACAGTCTTTCCTTCTTGAAATGCTTTCTTGCATTGTGTTTTGCCATGGTTTGCTTTGTTTTTCTCTTACTTATTCTCTCTCATTAGTTCTCCTTCATCTTTATAAATTCTGATGACTCTTCTTTCCCAGTGATTAATCCTGGAAAGCATTTCACTTTTCCATCTACACAGTACCTTACTCTAATTGAGATTATCCACTTCTACAGCTCCCGTGATCCTGTAAATACTAATTACCCTCAATTGTTTCTCCTATTTTTAGTTCCACTTGGATTTCTAGTAATCTTCTTGACTAAATTATCCAGACTGATTTTTCTCTCAAATTTTTCATCCTTCAGAGTTGTTTGTCTTATTTAGTGGCATTACCATTCAACAAGTAGTTGAAACCAAAAAGTTAATTGTTTTTGACTCTACTTTTGTTGCACTCTAGATCCAAACTCTCAGGAAATTATGTTGTTTTACTCTCAAAACATATCCAGAATCAATTACTACTTCCTCTTTATTTCTCAACTCCTTACTATGTCCGTTGATACCATTTTAGTTCAAATCATGATCGTCCTTCACCATTGGTTACCTACAGTCCGTTTTTCACTTGCAGTTAGACTAGTTGTCCTAAAATGTGCCAAATCTTATTCAAGTCTTCATCCTTCTCATAATGAAGTCATAAGCCTTACACCTCACATCATCTCTCCCCACTCTCTTGCTTTCTCTGTTTTAGGCAAAGGTCTTTTTGCCTTTCCCTTAAGAACTAAAATGATAAGAATTTACCCAAGGACTTTTGCATTTACTTCCCCCATTGTTTCCATCACTTTTTCTTCAGATACTCACAGAATTTGATTCTATGCTTCATTCAGGATTTTGCTTGTATGATGCCTTATCACAGAAATATTCTCCGATCATTCTAAATAAATTAGTATCCCTTCCATAACCATCAGTGTTTACCTACTCTGCTAATTTTACAGCACCATTCTGGCGTGTTTTATATTTTTTACCAATTTTCTGCCTCCTCCTGCTAGAATGTAGGCTTCATGAAAGCAGGGGCAATATATATATATATATATATATATATATATATATGTGTATATATATATGTATGTATATATATTTTTTTGTCTCCTCTTATTGTTATATCTTCAGCACCTAGCACAGTGCTGGGCTCAGTAAATAGTTGTTGAATTGAGTATATGAAATGTCCTTGCATGCTTGTCTGATTACCTAAGAAACAGTAACTTTTTTACCTTTCTCAGAGGAATGCTCATATTGTGTTATTTTTAAATAATCAGTGGCCAGGTTAGTATTAATAGTATAGGTAATAGAAGTTTGATTTTTTAATTTCTTAACTTAATAACAGGTTACTGGTTAATGCCACTTAGCTTTTATATCTCCTTGTCATAGAAGATATCTTAGGAAGATAGTATATGCGAGGCCTTTTATTAATAACAATTTTACTGTTCCATGAAAAAATTTTAAGGTGTTTTTGTTTTGTTTTGCCAAAATATGATCTTGTGGAAAACTTAGAGGTTATCCAGTATATTCAATAGGATATTTTTGATTGTGGTTAGTAGAAAATTTGATTCAAAGTATCTTAAACATTAAGAAAATATACTAATGTAACAAAGTCTAGTGTTAGATGGCATATCAGTTATATTCTTGGCAGGAAACAGATGGTGTACTCAACCTAGGTTTTTGAGAAGAGTTTAATGCAAGGGTATTCAAAAAGTTGAAAGCAGGGAGCTTGGGAAGATTTGAAGAGATGAGGGGAATAAGTGTTTAGCATAACCCAAAGAGAAAGTTATTGTAGCTATAGAAGAAGGGTGCCTGATGGGACTGTGGTCTTCAAGAAAGGAGTATAGTGTAAGTGTACTGAAGGGGTAAAATCTGGAAAATGTATACCCAACTTCATTTTCTTTCTGTCCCTTAATTTCTTGCTAATGTCTTCAATTAGTCAAACTCAACTGGAAACCAGTAGGCAAGGGAGCGTCCCAAGCATTAAAACAGGACAGGGAGGTTGGAAAGGCAGCAAAAGGTTGGAAAAGCAGCAAACATAAGTTGTGTTTCAGGGCTGGGTTATCTGAGTCTCAATAATGTCATCAGAGACCCAGGTTTTATCTATATCTCTGCTGTACCAGCTACAGTGTTGATTTTATGCTAAAGCTGATACTGTTTGAGGTCACAAGGCTGCCAGAGAGAATTAGTGCTATAGACCTTCACATCCAGGTGAAGAAAGCAAGCTCCTTTCTGTCAATTACTGAGCAAGATTCTTCTCTCCAATTTGATTGGTTAGCTTAGAGCTTGGCTGGCCTTCTTTTGAATCAATTGTTGCTATGCTACACTTTGATACTGAGTCTCTGAACTAATCATTGCCTGCCACCCTCCCCATCACTCCACCAAAACAACAACAAATGATTAATCTGGTTGGATTAGGCTATTTGGAGCACAACCTTGGAGTCCTGGGAGGAGCAGAATGGATAATAGACTATGGTGTACCTCTACAATTAAAATAGTTTTACACAATTTATTGAATATATAATCATACATGTTATGGGTATATGTGTGTGTATGTATAATGCTTTCTACAATAAAAATGAACATTTCTGATAACCTGTTCCATTATAGGCTAATCTAAATGTTGGAACAATCTCTCTTTATTGAACAGAAGTTTCTCTTTGTAACCGCCAGTGCTCCTATTTGGTTTAGTTAATTCTGGATTGGATGCTATAATGCAACTATTTTTATAACTTCTCAGGTATTATTTCCAAATATGGTTAGCCATGTCACATTATAGTACTTCTTAAAAATTATGTATTCTGTCACCACATAAAATTAATATATAGATCAAATTCCAGGGCTTACATTTTCTATGAGATTTAAATTGTTCCATCTAAAGGTTACAGATTTATAACTATAAATTATCCAAGTGTAGATCTGTTTTTAAAGTAGTTTTACTTGAGAAAATGAAAACAAATACCAAAATATAAAAATATTTTGAAACTGTTAATCAAATGAAATACATTTAAAAGCAGAGTTAGAATCTTCTTTCTTCTCTTCCCAGGCTTTGTTTTTTCCTACCTATTCTATTCTTACTCCATTTTTGAATTTGACATTATTTCAGTTAAATGTTCCCTGAGAAATTAGGGTAGGGATCAGGAAGACAAAAGATGAATAAGATAATATTCTTTCTTATATTACGAAAGAGAGATTTTTTTTTTTACTAACAATAATACAAGGAAGGAGGAATAAGTACTTCTAAGAGGTAAAGGTAACATGCTGTTGAAGAGAATATTCATTTATACATTTATACACTATTTATAATCCAGAATAGTAGGATTTTGAGGAGATCAATAAAAAGACAATAAAATATTTTCTAAAGAATAATTTTAGAATGAAAATCTGCCACCCAACAGCATTAATTGTTATGTGAAAACAGCAGGCCCCCCCATTTTTTTTTAAGTAATGTGGAAGGCCTTGTGATGCTTTTAGTATACCTTTTAATATCATGGTCCAAGTTCCAAACTTGTTTCTATATTATGAATTCATCAAGTGGATATGTTTATAATGGTCAGCCTGATTTTATAATACAGGTTAATGTTCTTTATAAGGACATGATGAATAATTTTTATGAGCTACAGTCTGGTCACATAGTATGTTTATCTATAAACAGGATCTGACTGTATTTTATTTTAGAGTTTTAAGTGTGAGAGTAGAATGTTATCAGATCATGTTCTTGAAATCATTACTACTGAATAAAAATAGAATGTATAAGATAAGCTATGTGAAATTATATTTAGTGAAGGAGCTGGCTGAAGTTTTAAATAACTATTGATCTCTTATTTTAATTTTATTCCTTTACAAATAAAATATTTTTAATTTAAAGTACTATATTATTTTCACTGATACTCCTTTAAATATGAATACTCAATCTTTACTTTTTAAACTCAAATGTTTGTTTTGGTTCCCCTCCTTTATTAACTCAGCTATTTATTTAGATTGATTTCCACCATCTTTCATAAAATTTTCAGTGAAAATTATGTACTAAGGTTTGCTTTGAATTTTGTAGGCTATTGCTTATGTAAGCACCATTGGTAATTTTGTCAGACAAAGAATTCTATTATATTAATACTAAATTATTTGTAACCTTATAATAATTTGAACCAATTAAATGCCCCTTCTTAGTAAAACCTGTTCACCATTCTTCTACAAATGTTTTATCTGCTCCATAGTTTCTTTCATTGAACTTAGTAACCTCTAACATGTTACATATTGTACCTTTTTATTTTATTTACTCTGTGTTCCTGCCTTATCATCTCTTAGAATATGTTCTGTGAGACAGAGTTTTTACTTCAATTTTGTTAGCTGCTTTTTTGACAGTGCCAGGGAGCGTATTTGACTGACAGTGAGCAATCAGCATGTATATTTTCTAAATGACTAAAATAAAAGTCTTGAGCTCTACCTTTAAGGTAAAGGAAATGTATGCAAGGGTGTTACAAACTGGGGGAGCAAGACAGAGAAAGCAGGGGAAGAAAATGTGTCCTGTGGGTGAAACTGGCCCACAGTAATATTCTGTGGGACTCAACAAAAAGGTTTAGTTTTGTTCCTCACCACTCTTTTTTGTCTCCTACACTGGTTTACACATTGTTGTTAGTTATTTGCAATCATTTTAGTTTGTGACCTTTTATGTAGAAGTGTGAAAATTCATGATGTGTTTAAGTCAAATTTATTGAGTTGTCCTTATGATCATGAGAAATATAGCTAAATCATATGGGAGGTAAAATTGGTAAGACAGTTTCATCCCTTTTAAATTTTGATCGTCTTAAACTTATATTCAGACTTCAGTCAGTGAAGAATAGGAAGGAAAGATGTGTTGTGTGATGTGTGCTTTAGGGTTGAGTGGTACATGATTCTTTACCCTATGACTGAAAGGATAGTGATACTACAAAACTGTATCACTAGATGAGGAAGAAAAGATTTGTGTCGGAAGATATATTTTTTGAAGTTTGAGTTTGAATTATCAGCTTTTGTGAAGAGCATTTTTTAATATAGCATTTTTATCTGAAATTGTATTCTAGGATAGCATTGTCCAATTAAAATACAATTCAAACCTCAGGTGCAATTTAATATTTTCCAGTAAAAAATTACAGGTTATATTAATCTTAATAATGTCTTTAGTCTAGTATTTTATTTTGATAATATGCAAAATATTATTTCAACATCTATTCAATAAGAAAATACGATTTTTAAAAATATTCTGAGCTGGAAAAACCCAGTGTTTTCATACTCACAACACATCTCACTTTCAATTGCAACATTCCAGCAGCTCAGTTGCCACATAGGGCTTCTGGCTACTGTATGAGATGGTGCAGCTTTAAGGTTTGGTTTCAATTTTGGAGAGTCTGTTGTTTAAATACCATTGGTAATAGGTATATGGTGATAGCAGTTGAAAATTCTTGAAGTGAGTACTCAGCATAGACATAGTGTTATATGAAGCTGTGAAAGCATAATATATCATCCAGGGATACGGTATTTATGAAGAGCAGACCAAGGAAATAATATTTTAAGCAATATTTTACATATTTTTAAGCAATATTTTTACATGTTTTAAACAATCTCTATTCTTATGTCTAAGATTTCTTCTTATATGTCAATTTCTACAAAAAATGAAATGAAGCCATTCTTATAACATTTCATTTCTTTAGCTTTAGCTAATAGTAGCATTATTTAACTTGAATTATTTATCTGTAATTGTCTTAGATTAGGCTTCAAATAACAAGCTATCACTCAAAGAAATAGCTAAAATTTTAGATCTCTTAATAAAATTATATTTTAATAGCAAATAATATAAATGTATTTCATATTTATTAGTGATAGCATATGAAAAATTCATGTGTGCTTATGCTAAGTCAGAAATTATACAATTTAATATTCTGGATATTTCAAGCTAGAATTTCTGTTTTCTTTCTTAGTCATCAAGAGTTCATATAACTAGACCTGTCTTGGAGCAATTTTTATCTTTTGCAAAATACCTTGATGGTTTATCTCATGGAGTACCTTTGCTGAAGCAGCTTTGTGATCATATTTTGTTTATTAACCCAGCCATCTGGATACATACACCTGCAAAGGTATGAGTTTTATACTTATTCAGTTTGTTTTAGTGTAATGTTATACATTATAGTTGCTGGATCTAAAGTATCCAGTGGAAAACATTTGAACATTTTAGCTTATTTTATAGTTAATCTGCAGCAATTGTGTTAGGCAGTATCAGGAGATCAAAATATTTATAAGTAGTAAAATAAATGAAACTATAGGTAAAAAAGAATCTTTGTGTAACACTGCATTCTAACATCTTTAGATGTGATACATACTTTTCCAATGAAGAGAATTTGCTATACCAATTTTTGAAAGACTAGGAAAGAGAACAGATAACTAATTGTATTATGACTGTAATCATTTTGCTGGAAAATTGCTTTCATTTTGAAGGCAGAATTTATATCATTACATGTAAATAATACTCACTTAAAAATAAATATATACATGAAATAAATATTTTTCCAGATAATAACAGAAAATTCTTATTATTTTGTATACCAGAATTTAGTCTTAGTGGAAATCAATAATGAGGGATATTTTGATTTTGAGCTATCTTTTACAGTTTAATAATATCTCCCTGAGTTATTTATTATTGCCTAAGCCCAAATCTTAATTTTGAGAACTCTTTTAAGCAAGATGTCTGACATGCCATCTCTGTGCTCACATGGTCAGATTGTGAAAGCAAACTATATATATTATGGCCACAGGGGAGGAGAATTTGAAATTGCATGAACTTTTAGGATATATGACAAAAATGTATAGGTTTTCAGATAGGCTTTAGCTGACTGATGTTCTGTTGCTATGAAGAAATTTATACACTGAAAGCTACTGAAATATACTTTAAGAGCTTTAGTTGACTTTTAAAATATTTTAATCTTTTTATCAGATTAATTTCAATAAATTAATCATTTTAAAATTATTTAATTGCCACAGCTGTTAGACTACCTTATTATAATAAGTTTATTAGAAAACGTTAATTGCAGATTATATATATATATATATATATATATATATTTTTTTTTTTTTTTTTTTTTTTTTTTTTTTTTGAGACGGAGTTTCACTCTCATTGCCCAGGCTGGAGAGCAATGGCGCGATCTCGGCTCACCGCAATCTCCGCCTCCCTGGTTCAGCCCATTCTCCTCCGTCAGCCTCCCGAGTAGCTGGGATTACAGGTATGTGCCACCGTGCCTGGCTAATTTTTTTGTATTTTTAGTAGAGATGGAGTTTCTCCATGTTGGTCAGGCTGCTTTCAAACTCCCGACCTCAGGTGATGCACCCGCTTCAGCCTCCCAAAGTGCTGGGATTACAGGCCTGAGCCACCGCGCCTGGCTATATATTTTTAAAATATAAATAATATTGAAGAAGAAAGTTATTTTTAACCTCTTAATAAATGATCATTTCTTGGCCTTTACTAATTTGCGTTTAAATTAAAACAATGCATATTTATAATATAAGCACTTGAGGCATTTTAAGTTCATTTTAATGATCTGTTAATATTCTGTATTAGGTTCAACTTTCCCTATATACATATTTGTCTGCTGAATTTATTGGAACTGCTACCATCTACACCACCATATGCAGAATAGGAACAGTTATTAAAGATAATGCACACCTTAAAATATTACTACTGGGTTATTAATCCTGCTGACAGTAGTGGCATTACACCTAAAGGATTAGGTATGTATAACACTTCCACTGTATTTACATTTGCCTATGAATATTCTGTATTCTGAGTACTGTTAAAGTGTGAGCCGTGTACATGACTATGAAATCACTGAAATGTTTTCTTTCTTATGTAGCAAACTGACATATTGAGAATTGTTTGTGGTAAAGAAGTTTAGGGCTTTTCAATATTAAATTATTTTGGAATAAAATCAGGTAAAAAGCAACAATAGTCTTTATTTTAGCCTGTATGCCTTTTTCCATTCAGGAAGACACATTTATAATATTAAAAACAGTTAAATGATATTGGTAAGTGTGTTCTAGTACATCAGTTGCTTTCAACATTTTCAGATTGTTACATGTTTTCATATTTTTATTCCAGATTTATCCTTTGTTGTGACTGTAGTGGAAACTAATTTAATTCTTCACTGTGATATCTTTTTTGTTTTGAAAATATAGCCAGTTTTTCTAATTATACAAAAAAAAGAAAATAAATAATACAGAAGAAGATATATATTTATGGCCCAAACCCCAAGAATAATTACTGATACGATTTTGGCATGTTTTCTTCCAGTGTTTCTCATTGCATACATATATAAAAATATTTAAACTTCTTAATTATAAATTGAGATTTTCTCAATTTTTCTATCTTGTCCTTTTCTCAGCTCAATGTAGTAATGTAAGAGGATGTACCATTTACATTGTTTCTAAAGTTTTGATTTTATACATATTAGAGGATTCTCTCATATATATATGTGTTTACCTCCATCTTTGATTTGTTTAAAATTACTGAAAAAGGGGCTAATGACAAATATTTTAAATTTTTTTCAGGAATGTCATATTATTTTAGTTTTACCAGTAGTATGTTAGAGTACTTCCTTTAGCGTGCTCACAATAACATTGAATATTATAGTTTTATAATAATCCCTTTGATAAGGAAAAATAGCATTTTCCAATTTTTTTTTTTTTTTTTTTTTGAAATGGAGTCTCCCTCTGTAACCCGGGCTGGAGTGCAGTGGTGCTATCTGGGCTCATTGCAAGCTCTGCCTCCCGGGTTCATGCCATTCTGCTACCTCAGCCTCCCGAGTAGCTGGGACTACAGGCCCCTGCCACCACGCCTGGCTAATTTTTTGTATTTTTAGTAGAGGGGTTTCACCATATTAGCCAGGATGGTCTCGATCTCCTGACCTCGTGATCTGCCCAACTCGGCCTCCCATTTTACTATTTTAATATTTATACAAGCTTACTTTTATCTCTTTTTATTTTATTAATGGGGCTTTAGAAGTTATTTATATTCAGATCTGTTATTTTGTCCTTCTATGGCTTCTTCCATTGCTTTTAAGTTGGTAATGCCTAAAATGTATTGGATTTTTCTGCCAAGCACTCTACCTGTTAATTTGTTTAGTAATATATATATATATAAAACATAATATAATTATAGATAAATAGACATATTCATATCCATACATAAGACTGCATCTATATGTAACTTTGTTTTTGATATCATCCTCATTTTAAAGATTAGGAAACTGAAAGTTGGTGCAAACCAACCAGCACCAAAATTTGGATCATATCTATCTGACTCAGAGATCTCATTCTTAAATGCTACTCTATGATAGAGTTTTCTCTAGTCTAAACAAATCATATATTCACACATAATAATTTCTGCCTTAAAATATTAATTTCTAATTTACAGAAAAGTTACAAAGTTGCAAACATTGCACAAAGAATTCTCATATGTCCCTCAGTAGATTCTCAATATTTTACATCTTACCACTTTAGGCTTTACTATTCTCTCATGCTCTTTTTATATATATATAAACACACCTACAGACACATGCCCATATTTTTTTCTGAATCAATTGATAATAAATTGTAGACATGATACCCTCTCACCTCTAAATACTTTATTGTGTATTTCCTGAAAGGTAAAGGCACTTTGTTAAATAACCAGAGGATATCCATTAATATCAGGAAGTTAGCATTAATACAATACTATCATCTAATTCAAAGACCCCCACTCAAATTTCACTAATTACAGTAATAAGGTCCTTTCTAGGAAAAAAATTCTTTTGTCCTAAGTCTGTTGAGGACCATATGTTGTGCTTAGTTGCCTTGTTACTTTTAATGTTCTTCAATGTAGAATAGTTTTTTACTATTTCCTTGTCTTTCAGGACCTTGACATTTTTGAAGAATACAGACCAGTTATTTTTTCGAATACCCTTAAATTTGAATTTTCTATTTGTTCATGATGATGCAGGTTTTTCATTTTTACAAGAAATAACACAGAAGTCATATTGTCTGTCTCCTTGTATTATGTCAAGGAGACACATGATGTTGAGTTGTGCTTTTACAAGTGATGTCAACTTTAAACATTTGATTAAGGTATTATCTTCCAGGTTTCTTCATTATAAAAATCACTTCTTTCTCTTTGGTAGTTAAGAAGTATTTGATGGAGAAATACATTGAAACTATATAAATATCCTGTTCCTCAACAAAGTTTCACCTGCCTGTTTTAGTGTGCTGATGATTCTTACTAAAAATTATCTTTATTATGATGACTGACAAATGATGTTTTCTAAGACATTGATTAAGTTGGCATATCTACTGTAAGGAAGAACTTGTTTTACTACTCCACTCTATCTGTCTATCTATATCTATCTATCGATCTGTCTGTTTATTGATCTATCTGTCTATCATCTTTTATATCAGTATGGACTCATGTATTCAATGTGTTATATCAACAGTTGGCATACTTTCTTTGCAAAGGGCCAGGTAGTGTTTTAGGCTTACGGAGCCATAAGGTCTCTGTTGCACATAGTCAGCTCTGACATTGTATTGCAGAAATAACCACAGACTGTATGTAAATGAATAGGTGTGGCTTGTTCTAGTGAAACGTACAAAAACAAGTGGCCTGATTGGTTTAGTCCTAGGGCTGTGGTTTATCTGTCTCCTGGGTTGTATCATTATTTTGATGCTCGAGATTTGGCCAGTAGGACCCTTCACATGGATTATGGGACAAATGCCCATAAGTTTATAATACTTTCTTACTTTCTGAAACAAGATGTTTTTGACTTTTCTTACACTTTCCTTATCCCAGCCCTGAAATTAGCCATTTTTCCAAGAAGCCCTGGTTTGCTTGGTGGATATGGTTTTTAGAAACCAAGATCTGGATGTGAGGTGTGCTTCTTGGTTTTTGAATGTCATTGCTTCTACATTCTCTTAGTGGACAGATCTAGGAAATGATGTT
Organism: Homo sapiens; assembly: GCF_000001405.40. NCBI lineage: Eukaryota > Metazoa > Chordata > Mammalia > Primates > Hominidae > Homo > Homo sapiens. Next base: position 20,666,232 of record NC_000015.10, on the reverse strand, counting down.
TGAATCTATGTATATAGGTACATCTCAACTGATTTATCTATATTAAAACCATGAGTTCACAGCAGTACCTTCAATTCCAGTCACATGGCTCGACCTAGCCTCAAACTTCTTAAATGTGTAGCTTTCTTCTTCAATAGTGAGAAGTCTTGCTCCTATTGTCTTTAATATATTTATATGTTTTCTTATTCTACTTTACAAAACCAATATTTTGATACACATGCCATAACCTTCTCAGCTTTAACATTGCTAGTCATCTCTAATCATACCCTCAGATTTGACTCTGAATGGTCCTTGTTGTCTCTTCAGCCCCAGTTGTTTCTTTGGCACTGGCCATCCTCCTGACCTCTACTGTCTCCTTGGCCCTCACCCTGAAAGTCCTTCCAGACTCACTTGCCTCTGGCTCTATAAGATCCTGGGTATCACCAGGGCCTCTGCTCCCTCCATAGAACCCGTGTCCCTGAGGCCTCACTGGCTCTAGCTACATCAAAGAGAGGGAAAGGAAGAGAACCAGTAGTACATATATTTTAAGTGAAAGTGACAGGAAAGTGGAATGAGCACTTATTTTTCTTTATCATTTAAATTATTACTTTAACATTTTAATACTTTGAAATTAATTTTGTTATATAGTAGAATGTAAGGTTCTGACTTGAAGTGTATCATTTTCTAAATGACAGCATTTTTCAATACCATTTTAAACAAATGCTTTCTTTTAAGGACACTCTAAAGATAATGTGCACTACACTAGTTTTCGTAGAACTGTTCATGTGTAGGCACTCACCTTGAGAAGTAGGATTTTTTTTTTACTTAACGCTTTTGTCTCAAATTATTATTATATATAGTTAACTGTAAAAACATTGAGATATATTAAAAATATTATAGGACAGGTAATACATATTCATGGTAGCAAGTGAAATAATACAAAGGTTTATGAATAAAAAGTTACTACTCTCCTAGGTAGCCAATGTTACCAGTCTTGCATATCCTTCTGCTGCTTTTTCTCTGCTCATACAAACATGAACTTACTCATGCATACACATAGGTGTTTCAAAGTTTTATTCTGAATACATCACGAACACAAAGTGGTATAATTACATATATCAATGTAATATATAAACATGTTATAAATATGAATATAAATGTAAAATGAACCCTATTTAAACATCAGTAAGCCTAAGACACAGAACATTACCAATGAGCCTGAATATTCTCATGCGTGGCCACATCTCTTTTCTATTCCCCGTCATAGAAATCACTCCATCCCAAATTTTACGTTATTTCTTTTCTTTACTTGGGTGCTTATTATTTTTTACTATGCTTTACTCTTTTGCTATTTATGTATGTATTATTAATTTATTGTTTAGCTTCTATATTTTACATAAATAGTATTATTTTGGGATTTGTTTTTTCATTGAGTTTCATATTTGTTAGATAAATCGGTTTGTATTTTATTTTGCAGAAATGGATTTATATCATACACAAAGCACACAAATATATATATTTCTTTGCAACATGCTGTTTGTATTGTGCAGTATACAATAAAAGTAATTATTGCTAACATTTGAGTGATTATGATTAAAATGGGCCTGGTACTAGTCTAATTTCTTTACATACGCTGATCCATTTAATCCTCACAAGACATCCTATGACAAGCAGTATTATTATTCTTACCCTAACAATAAAGAAGAAAACAAATCTTAGGTACAGAGATGTTATAAAACTTGTCCAATTTTATTAAGTGGTGGCAGAAATAGTAAGATTAAGGAAATTATTACTAAGACAGAATCTGTCTTTTCTTGGATGGAGTGGGGATGTGATCAGGAACAGGAATGTGGCACAGAGCTGAGGTCTGGAGCATGGTGAGGGCTTTGGCATGCAGGGCAGGATGGGGACACAATCAGTTGTTAGATATTCAGGAATTTTATGAGCTGGTTGTTAAACCATTGGTAACTTGAACTTGAAATCAGATTATTATTAATATGATAGAAATCAGAAATACGTAAATGCTCAAAATCAGGACCTCATCCCTCCACTCTGCAGATAATTCTTTTACCAGCACACCAATAGTTGACAGGTTTCCCTGTCAGGCTACTGTCAGTGTTCAATTTCTTGGTCAAAGAACTGTTTATACAGGTGTTCATTTTATGATAATTCATTAAGTTGATCATGTATGTTTTCTGTACATAGGCAATATTTTACAATGAAAAGTTTTTTTTAAGTAATACCCAGTGTCAGTAGGAGGGGAAGAGTACTCTGTGCATCTTAGTGGGAGTGGGGCAATAAAAGGTGGAGAGCAGTCTGGGAAATAGGGAAAATATTTCTTTTATTATAATAGGCAGGATGGATTTTTTGGATAATAACTTGCTTGCAGATGTAATAATCTTCATGTAAATATTAAGTGAATAAGCAGATGGTATAGATTATACATGAAGGGATTATGCTTTTAAAACTTGTAAAGCAGTAGATAAATACTGGTTGCTACAAGAAAGGCTTAATGTTAAAGGATTTTTATGAATCTAGCTACATTTCTTAAAAGTATACTTTATTGTATATTACGCATATTATATATTATTTTATATTTTCATTTTATTAGTAATTAGATATTTTGAAATTACTTTAAAATTTGTACATTATGATAGAACTGATATGTACATTTGAATATTTTATGCTCATTTTCACTTATTGACACAGCATTTATTAAATGCCCACCATAATATGTATTTTCTTTATACAAGTGCCATAGAAGAAATAGGCTGCAAAACAAATAATTAAAATAAAACAGTGTCACTTTTTCTGAGCTTTATTAAATAATGTGTGGGGTGAAAATGGAGACAGTCCTTAAATGAAGACAAGTTTAATTGAGAATGGAAGACATATTGGGAAACCTATTAATGTAATAAAAACAGAAAAAAGTATTCAAGTATTAATGTAAATACTTGGGGATTATACATTTATAAATGGATACTAATATATTACAACTTTTTTAAAAGTTCTTTTTTCCACAAAATCAGACATTGAGTAAATAATTTGAAATTGCCAAAAATTTGAAAGTTAATTTTTGGATACCCATATATTATTAAAATTTTATAGCATTAATGTAAATATTGTAATTTTAATAAATATAATTATTCAAGAATGCCATAGTATCCCAACATAACTGCATTAAGCTTATTTAATATCTTGTATTTTTTATTTTTACTTTTTTTTCTGTTTTGTTCTTGATGGTCCCCAGCCATCACAAAAAGAAATTATATCACTGAGGGCATTTATGCTACTTTTTCTGAAACAGCTCATACTAAAAGTAAAATAATTTTATATAATTTAGAATTACAGTATATAGGTAGAAAGGAATTTCTGGCATGTTTTAAAATTATTATTGTTAAATTAGTAATAGCTACCTTTAATTAATGAATTGCTTCCAAAATTCTGCACATCTTAATATTAACTTTATTGAACTTAACTAACTTCTGGTTAAATGCTCTCTGAAATCTTCCCTATTAAGGGATGTGACAGAAATGGACAAGGAACATATGAATAAGAATTGAGCCCTTATTCTTATAGTAATTGACCATTATTCTAGAAAATGGTCTGTGTGCCAGTTTAAGAAGGCTTACATAATGTATTTTATTGTAGTAGGATTTTTTAAATGTTAAGATGAAAACAAAGTGAAAATAAATATAAATTTTGAGGTAATACACAAAAATTGATACTGTATAGTCTTGCACTTGTATTCAAGAAAGAATGATTAGAAAATAGTCATAAGAATACTTCGATGGTCAAAATAGGCTAACTTTTTATAGTGAATGTCAATCAAATATTAATGACTTAAAAATTGATAAGATTTTCTAAATATTTACTTAATTAACTTGAAATAATATAGTCTATAAATTGTGAAATGTGTGGGGATTTTAATTCAAATATCACTACATTAAACTTACTCTTATTTTCTTTTAAAATGATTATTTTGATGTCTTTTAAATTAAAATTTTAATTTTAGATGTAAAATAATAAAATATTTTTTAAAAATTAAGATCAAAGGGTCAAAGAAGATGAACTTCAGAGTATATTAAATTACCTTCTTACAATACATGAGGTAGGACATGTTATGGACCTTTTATTTTAATTATTTAAGCCAATCTTTAGAGTAAAATTTAAATCAATATTGGTGATTTATGCAGGATGAAAATATTCATGATGTGCTACAGTTACTGGTGGCTTTAATGTCAGAACACCCAGCCTCAATGATACCAGTATTTAATCAAAGAAATGGAATAAGGTATGATTATAATATTAGTATTACTATTAGACGTCAATGGAGCACAGTTGTTCCTCCTAGAATAATTCCTATTCTATGAATATTTGAATAAATATAGCATCTTACACATAAGAGAGTATAAATGGAGAATGCTGCTGTTGATCCTCCAATACTCAGGAAACTGATGAAGTGTATAAACAGTAGTCTCAGGAATCAAGAAGAGTAAATTGTTTTTGCTATAGTAAGGACATTACAAATTGTGAATAGAGCAATTTTTTTTTCAAGAAGACACGAAAAAGCAAGGTATGTTTTACCAAAAGAGGATACAATGAAATTTTATGATATTAGGCCTGAGACAGAGATTACAGCCAGTTTTGGAAGGTTCATAGGATGGTAGTAACTTTAGTGTTTCGTTTTTTTTCAGTTGGTGATGAAAATTAAAGAATTTTAAATAGGGGAAATGTGCTCAGATTGCTATTTTGTTAGATTTACAATCACCAGTGTGAAACATGAGTTGAAGGACAAACTGATGTAGCAATATCCGTAGGTAGATTATTTTATTCATCAGTATTAAAAATGATGACCTGAGACAGTAGCAGTGCAATGGAAATAATAGAGATGAAAGATGTTCTGGAGTTAAGAGGCCAAAGCCTAAAGAAATTCAAAACCAACTTTTGTTGTGGCAATTGAAAAGTAACTTGGTAGACAGGTGAAATATAATTTCTTAGTTAGTATTTTTATGAACTTAACCCTATAATTTAGCTTCTTAAGGAATTCTTCCTTTTTATTTTTCTGGAGTTTTAATTAGTGGGATGAGCAGGATATCAAGGTTATGCCATGTATAACTCAGTGAATTTCTACAGATTTATTGTGAAAAAGAGTTTGGAAAGAATATATCAGTGACTGTCAAGGGCTTTTTTAAGTGCTTTTTTTACTTGGCCATTTATATCAATGGATAACAACTTTCTAGACTTGAAGAACTCCTTTTCAAATTAGAGAAGCGATCACTATCTCTGTATGCATATCTCCCTTGTGACATCACTATTACCTTTGAGTTTATAATTCAAAGGCCTGCCAATCTATTTGAAAAAGATTATACATTTAGTGATTAAAAACTGTTATAATTTTTTACTCTTGAGTTTGAACTATATGAAACTGTTGATACTTAACTGATTTTACCAAATAATGGCAATTTCATATGGTTTGATCTAATAAGGTAGTACAATTACACTCACTCTTCTGAACTTATATTTAGATTCAATAATTAGTGTCCTTGTCCTGAGATTTTGCTTTGTTTATTATATTATCTGATAAATTTAGTGAACCAGTTGAAGATATCCCCGTTACCCTTGTGGAAGATACTAAACTTAGATTGTCTAATATGATGAAATGCAGAAATATAATTCTATTGTTTTGACACATTGGAAATACGATCCTACATATGAGAGTGCTATTTGGTAAGATCTTTAGGATTGACATACTGTTTTAAATGTATGGTATGAAAGAATTGATTAAGCACAACAGATTAAAAGGCTTTGTGCTCATGGCTGACCATGAGCAGAACATTTCAGATTGTTGCCACTATGTTAAAAACAATCACAAAGATTAAAAAACGGCCTTTCCTTGACACTTCAGCTTTTCTACTTCAAAAATGGGGAGAAAGCTGGTTCAGAATAGTATAAAAGGTGAAAAAAAAGGCTTATTAGATAGAAAATATTGAAAGTGTCTAAAGCATTTATATGTCTTTATTCTAGAAAATAGCCATTAAAGGCTAACAGTTGTATATGAAGTATTTTGGGAGGAAAATTCTGGTCTGTTCTAATTCATACAATGGAATTCAGTATAACATCTGAACAAAAAGAATGAACTGAGTTTAGTTCTGATGGTATGCTAATTCAGCTTAAGGAAGCCCTTGTGATAACACTGAACTAAGCAGCTAAAAATGTGATATTTTTATATCTTGAAATGTTTAAAGAAAAGAATAGACAACTACCTGTCTTATATAGCTTAGATCATTTGCTGGCTGAATATAGTGAGCTTAAGCAGATGAATTAGGATTATTATTAATTAGTAACAATGTATATTACAAGTAAACATTCATTAACAAATTTCTTATTCATACTGTATCACATCTTTACATATATACATGTATGATGGCCTTAGACATTTTCATGTTTCAACATTAGTCGTAATTTCTCTTGACCCAGGGTGGAGTCTAATAACTTTTTTCCTCCTACTCAAAGTTATTCCTAGGCAGTAGAAACTCTGTGAGAACTTCCAATTCTATATTTGAGTGTAACCACATTTTTAGGCTGTGAGTGTTGTGTTTTGTTTTGTTTTGCTTTGCTTTGTTTTTTTTGAGACAGAGTCTTGCTCTGTTGTCTAGGCTGGAGTGCAGTGGCACCATCTCGGCTCACGGCAGCCTCCACCTCCTGGGCTCAAGCAATTTTCATGCCTTAGCGTCCCCAGTAGCTGGCACTACAGCCATGTGCCACCACACCCGACTAATTTTTTTTGTGTCTAGCAGCGACGGGGTTTCACCCTGTTGCCCAGGCTGCTCTTGAACTTCTGCACTCAGGCAGTCTGCCACCTTGGCCTCCTAAAGTGTTAGGATTACGGGCGTGAGCCACCATGCCTGGCCCAGACTGTGAGTTTTACTTTGGTTCTCAAGACTATTTTTGCTGTTTAATGTTGCTTCTTATGATTTCTTGAATGTATTTTTTTGACATGTCTGACTTTGCTATTCTCAAACTTGTCTTTTTTCATTACTGATCTTGGTTCCTAAAAGTTTTGAAAATGGATTTCAGTGTAAACCTATACATATTTATGAATGTGGGATTTGAAAAAAAAATCTTCCAAAGGAAATAATCACTTTTCTTGTAGTTTATTCTTTAATAGATGAAATGCAAAGCATAAAAGAAAAAAAGAGAAAAAGAAACAGTACCAATAACATCTTTTCTTTTTTAATAGTATAAGCTGTTGGTAAAACTAAAAATAATGACATTATGTTTAAGCTATTTGTGCCCCCTTGTAAGTATCACTGAAATTATGAAAATTATATTGCATCTTTTACTAGATTCTCTTCTTCAGCTGAGTACTTTACCTCAAAATATACCATGGCATTTTATTTTTTAAGAAACAATATTTAATAAAATAAAGCAAACTATAATTTTATAGCCCCTAAAGAACCTTATATTCTAGAATTAGTTGCCAGTGTATATAGTTGTCATTGTCCCTTCTACTTTATGGAAACAAATAATTTTTTTAAATAGAAAAAATATGGAATAAAATTTCTAAACACTTACGAATATTATAATGAATATCGCCCTACTTTTATGTAGTACTTGAAGTGATTGTATAGGTTAGGTTGTATATTAGTGGAGGCTATTTTGCTCCAAGTAACAGAAAACTTCTCAAGCTTTTAAAGTAAAAACTGAATAATATGTTTGTTTAAAAAATCTTAGAGTAGGAACCAGGAATTGTAGGGCTATTAGGAAACAAGTTTGCTTTCTCTGCTGCTTTCTGTAAGCTGTTTAATCCTTCCTTCTGTATGTTGACTAGCCTTTCTGAGCAGAAACAAAACGTTGCTGTTCTAGTTTCTGTTTTAAACAATTTTCGAATCCAAGAGCCCAGCAAAGAGGAGATATTGTTTCTTAGACCTCATTCCAAATTCTCAAAAAAGAGCACTAACTAGGCAGGTGCCTACCTATTATCTAATCAGTCATACCAAGACAAGAGGGTTAGGGTGCAGTGGCGCACGCCTGTAATTCCAGCACTTTGGGAGTCCGAGGTGGTTGGATTGTTTGAACTCAGGAATTCCAGACTAGCCTGGGCAATATGGCAAAACCTCACCTCTATATTAAAATTAAGAACAAAAAATTTAAAAAAAAGAAAGAAAATAGGGTTATCAAGTTTAAATGTTGGGGCCAATTCTTAGAAGAGATGTGGCCTAAACAAGCATGTGTCTTAAAACTGAAAATCGTGTTTAGTATGTTGGGAGGCAGTACTTATGAATACCAGTCACATTGCCCTTTTGAGTATATGGTTGAAGGACATGTTTAAAGAAAAATTATTAAAGCATGCCAGTTTTTAATTTTTCCAAGGAATTATAATCCTGAGAATAAAATCTTCAGAGAAGTTTTATATTTCACATATGTATAATTTATTTGTAAAGTATGTAGTGTATTTTTGTTTTTAATATTAGTAAGTTTTTAAACATTATTTATATATTTTTTAGGGTGATCTACAATTTATTGGCTTCTAAAAGTGAAAGTATTTGGGTTCAAGCTTTGAAGGTTCTGGGATACTTTCTGAAGCATTTAGGTCAGAAGTAAATTGATATTTGTTGTAATGCATTCTAGAAATAACTATTGAGATTATGTTTTTATGAGTTTTATATGTAATGTAACATGAAATTTGACTTGAATAATCTAACACTGGAAAATAATAGCTTTATGTGGTAGAAGTAGTAAGAGTGTTTTATAAAATTTATTAATAGTAGATTATGGAACAAGATTACAATTTAAGTAACAAGGTTTTATTTCTATATGCTTCCTGAAAAGAAAGCATTATCTATAGATGTAATAAAATATTTTGTCAAGATATAATGATGCACATATGACTATGATTTCAAGGAAAGCTTCCTTGACAAGGAAATATCATGTATATGTTGAGGTCTTTCTGAGAGTTGATCTTATGCTTACATGCTGAGTCAGTATTTTGTTATTAGTTTCTAACAGTAGGGCTTATTAATTAATTTTGTGACTTCAAGATGCTAGAATACTTCATTTCTTTCCCCAAATACAGAATTTGAATACTTTCTAAGAACAGTTTTTGTGTAAGAAACTACTGCTGGCTTAGTGATTGCAGTTCGTACTACACTATCCAGTGTATGAATATAGTTTTAAGAGTAGATTTCCTTACAAATGAAGCCAAGGAAGTAGTGCAACTGTAATTTAAATGTTACTAGATGGGGTTCCTATGAAAACCTCAGTGTTGCCCTTTTTTTTTGGTGCTTGCTTAAATATGCAACGCGCTTATTTGTAATAATCATGAAAACTGCACAAAATTCAGACAAGACATGTCTAACAAGCTGTATAGCCTAGAAGTTTAAATATTTTTAAAATTTTGGTACCAAACAATGATTAAGGGAGACTAGATATACTATGGATATAAGGAATAGTTCAAACAAAGCCAGGATTGTAGAGAAGGATATATTTATCTATATATATATGGATCATATATATATATATAGATATATATAAGTTCACTTGGTGATAGAGTACTGGGAGTGAAGAAGCATATGCCCTTTTTATTTTAAGAGATAAAGATCACTTACTTAACTTCAGTTAATTAAAATAAATTGATTGGAGAAAGTTAAAGGATTGTAGCCCAAGATGCAACCTCCTCAAATATCAAGAAAGCACATTAAAAAATGTACAAAAAAAACGAAAACTCAGTTAATACAAAATTAAAAATACATGCAGGCAATTTCCTGTGTAAACATGGTGTTTAAGATGTCCTATTTTCCCCTTTTCCTGTAGAATGTATAAATGATACAACAAGAAGTAAAAAACTGTACTCTCTTATCAAGATAGATGCAAATGTATGAACTCCAGAATATGGGTATCAGCTGCTTAAAGTTGCTAAGGTTGGGTAAAAGCTGTTAAGGCTAAAGAGAAGAGAAAATACAAAGAGCATGGTGAGAGAGTTCAATTATAGCAAATAGGAACTGTCAGTGAAAGTACAGTTTCTGAAGATGAGAGGCCCACCTTAAATTTCAAAAATAGATCATTTCTAAAACAACCCCATCAAAAAGTGGGCGAAGGACATGAACAGACACTTCTCAAAAGAAGACATTTATGCAGCCAAAAAACACATGAAAAAATGCTCACCATCACTGGCCATCAGAGAAATGCAAATCAAAACCACAATGAGATACCATCTCACACCAGTTAGAATGGCGATCATTAAAAAGTCAGGAAACAACAGGTGCTGGAGAGGATGTGGAGAAATAGGAACACTTTTACACAGTTGGTGGGACTGTAAACTAGTTCAACCATTGTGGAAGTCAGTGTGGCGATTCCTCAGGGATCTAGAACTAGAAATACCATTTGACCCAGCCATCCCATTACTGGGTATATACCCAAAGGACTATAAATCATGCTGCTATAAAGACACATGCACACATGTTTATTGCAGCACTATTCACAATAGCAAAGACTTGGAACCAACCCAAATGTCCAACAATGATAGACTGGATTAAGAAAATGCGGCACATATACACCATGGAATACTATGCAGCCATAGAAAATGATGAGTTCATATCCTTTGTAGGGACATGGATGAAATTGGAAATCATCATTCTCAGTAAACTATCGCAAGGACAAAAAACCAAACACCGCATATTCTCACTCATAGGTGGGAATTGAACAATGAGAACACATGGACACAGGAAGGGGAACATCACACTCTGGGGACTGTTGTGGGGTGGGGGTGGGGGGAGGGATAGCATTGGGAGATATACCTAATGCTAGATGACGAGTTAGTGGGGGCAGCGCACCAGCATGGCACATGTATACATATGTAACTAACTTGCACATTGTGCACATGTACCCTAAAACTTAAAGTATAATAATAAATAAAAAAATAGATCATTTCTTTGAAATAATAGATACACATATATCATGCCTGATAGCAGAGTTTTTTTGAATCAGATTGGTTTCAGAAAAGGAGAAGATATCACAAAGAATTACACAGATGAGCTGTATTTGTGGCAAGCAGTCTATCTCTGTGGCTATAGAGAAAGAGAAAGTTTTTGGATTATGAAAGCAAAAAGGTTACCCTTGTCCCTTTTACACATATGCATGGAAGCATCCTGTAGACTGATGGGCCAGGCAGATTAGACTGTATCAAAGAATTGGCACATCATCAGTGCATGTATCAGATAAAAAACACGGAAAAAAAAAGTTAAGGTAACCAGTACATGAATAGCACTTAGCATAAAAATATTGCTATGGAATATATAGCATTTTGATTTAGAAATTTACTGTCATAAGTTAAAAATAAATAAGTAGCTTCTGAGAAAGAACCACTAAACATAATTTGGAGAAGTAATCCTACTACTCAGGAGGCTTATGCAGGAAGGTTGCTTGAGCCCAGGAGTTTGAATCCAGCCTGGACAATGTAGCAACACCCCCATCTGAAAAAAAAAAGTTGTTAGAAATGTTAACATAGTGAGATGGTTTGGTTGTGTTCCCCCACCTAAAATCTCATCTTGAATTGTAATCCCCACGTGTGAAGGGAGGGACCAGGGGAACATAATTGGATCATGGGGGCAGTTTCTTTTCTGCTGTTCTTGTAACAGTGAGTCGCATGAGATCTGATGGTTTTATAAGCATTTGGCATTTCCCCTCCTTTCCCTTATTCCGTCTTGCCACCCTGTGAAGAAGGTGGCTGCTTCTCCTTGCCTTCCACCATGATTGTAAGTTTCCTGAGGCCTCCCCAGCAATGCAGGACTGTGAGTCAATTAAACCTCTTTCCTTTATAAATTAGCCAATCTTGGGTATTTCTTCATACCAGCGTGAGAACAGACTAAAACAGATAGCATGGAAGTATTTAATTATGAGCTAATAAAACATTGGACAAGTATTGGAGGAAAAGAACTATACACAAAAAAATAAAATTGGAGATTGCTCAAAGGCAAAACCCTGGCTAGTATCATAGTGAAATACACAGAAGATAAAACTGAAAAAAGCAAATCATATGAATAGGTGAAAATGTGAGTTTAGGATTAGAAAGAAAATGAGTGACATGAGAGAAAAACAAATTACAATAATGGCATAAATCGGCTGGGTGAGGTGGCTCACACCTGTAATCCCAGCACTTTGGGAGGCTGAGGCGGGCACATCACGAGGTCAGCAGTTTGAGACCAGCCTGGCCAACATGGTGAAACCCCGTCTCTTAAAAATACAAAAATTAGCCAGGCATGGTGGCGAGCGCCTGTCATCCCAGGTACTCAGGAGGCTGAGGCAAAAGAATTGCTTGAACCCAGGAGGCGGAGGTTGCAGTGAGCTGAGACTGCACCACTGCATTCCAGAGCCTGGGCAGTAGAGGGAGACTGTTTCAAAATTAAATAAATAAATAAATAAATAAATAATGGCATAAATGGAGTTCCCAAATAAAAGCAGAACAATGGAACTAGACAAATATTTAAATCTATAATTTAATGAAGTCTTGATGTTAGATTTTGCCATTCTTATTTAGAGGACATATTGTGTGCTAGGGAAAATTGACCTAGAGTGGCTAGCATCAAGGTGTATTACTGGACTTAAATATAAGAATACTTTGTATAACAGTGCACAAAATAAGGAGAAAAATGAGTCTGGCTTTAGACTCTAAAATAACCTTCAGTACAAAAAACTACCACAATCATCAGATACTTAAATGAAGAAAGTGGGAGCCAAACTATCCTTTAAGTAAAAAAAATGCCATCAAATATTTTTTAGCCATACAGCAAATTATTTCTGTGACTAAATCTTGAGGAAATTGCTGGGGATGAAGTCCAACCAACTACGAATGACTGGAGAAACTATTGCTAAGGACAGCTGGTGAGCACTGAATAAATTTAACCATAAGACGAAGAATAAAATACACGTTCATATTACTGTGACAGACCAGAATTTACTTTTTATATATGCTAATAATGTAGAAATGACTCAACTGTAATGAATTGGGAGAGGATTGAGAAAAGAAGGAAAGTAGAGCAAGTGCAAAGAGTCAGAATTTCCATGTAAGCGGAAAGATGAAATATTACAAATGTAGGCCTGTTGACTAAAATTTGATGATGTAGATGAAAGGAAAAAATTAAGAGTAAATATGCTGACATTTACATTTCTCATAGTAAGGAAATACCCTTTTTAAGCCGATGGAAGATTACTTATTCTTTCATAGTTAAAAAGATAAGCAGTTCTATAAAATTATAGAGCTTCCAAAATATTAAAGATCTGTATGGATAAAACTAAGAACAATATATGTAATGGAACCTTAAAAAATCTGTAAAGATCAGTAAGCATAACATAAAATATGACATATCTTAAGACCAGTCATGCTGTCATAAAAAATAAATGTAGAAGCTTTTATAAATCACCTGTTAAGAAAAATATCACAATTGATCACAGTAATAAAACCCAGTTCTATATGCAAGAAACATACAAAAAAACCAAAGTGGTTTTGAAAGGTTGAAAGTAAAAGGATGAGTAAAGATTTATTATGTAAGTACAAAGAAAGCAAAAAGTAGGAATCATGATCTTAATATTGGACAAATTAGAATACAAGCCAAAAAGCAATAACCGTTAGATAAAGAAGAATTCTTCATAATGATAAAATAGAAACATTCATAAAATAGAAATTACAGGAGAAACGGACAGTCACTTAAAGTTTAAAACTTTAAGACAAACTTTAATTGACCTATTTCAGTCCACAAAAAGCCAAGAAGTATCTGAAATGGTGGGATAAATCTTCTTGTCCTTAAACTTTTGTGGGTCGGTGTGTAGGAAGATTGGAGTGCTACGATGCTGGCTTCAGGGGCTCATGGTGCAGGACTTACAGCTTGCTAAGTTTTATACTACAAGTCAGTAAGTTTAGAGGGTGCTTTGCCTGACACCACCTGTGGGGATCTCATCATTTAAAATTCACAGCCATGAGATTTGACCTTGACTCTGTGGATAGTGAAAAATAGCAACTCATCTAAAGGGGCCTACTAGCCAGAAGCAGGATGAGAGAATCATCAAACTATGTACCCAATGAAGTAGAACTATGGTAGAGGCTATTGTGGAACATTTAAATTTCATTTATACAAAGAGCTTTTGAGATTCAAATAGAGCACGAAAGATAATAATCTACTCTTTTAGCTGATGATTTTTTAACCAGTTCACCCTGATGAGTGGACTGGAAGATCTCAAAGCATGGGTGAAAAATAGAGAGTGAGAGAAAAGATAAAGCCTTACAAAATAAGAGACTTCACATGTGACTATTAAGAGTTCTTAGAAGAGAAAACTGATGGGTGTAAAAACTAGATATCCTGAAACACTTTGAACTACTAAAAACTTACAAATGTTGGATAAAAATATGTCAAAAATCCTATTAAACATATAGGTGTGCACACAAAAGTAAAGGAAATTTTCATATGCCAGAAATGAAAATCAAGCATATTAAAAGAAACAAGATTTTAAAAACAAGGTAATTTTAAAATAAACCATGTAATTTAAAAATCGTAAGTAACTTGTGGAAATGAAAAGGTAATAATTACAATGAACACCTATATGGAAACAGTAAACAGATTCAACAAAGCTTCAGAAAGAATTGGTGAACTGAGAAATAGAACTGAAGAAATTACCTAGAATTCAATGCCAATAAACAAGATTACAAACATGAAATTCAGAGAGATGGAGAAAGAAGGAAAGGAAATATGAATAATAGGAGTTACAGAAAAGAGGAAGAGAGAATGAAGAAGAGGCAATATTCAAAGTAAATTACTGAAGTTTTACAAAATTGATGAAAGAGCTGATTTCTCAGATTTTGGAAGTAAAATCAATCAGGGAAAATTAGCATGGAATCTTATCACAAAGTGAAACTCCAGAACACAAGGTCAAGGGGAACAACAAAGGGAAGTTAGCTGTATAATATTAAAAGAAATATAATATTTAATAAAAACAATATAGTACATATTTGTGAATAAACAGAGCAAAGTGCAGTCCACAGAGTGACCCAAATACTTAGCAGATTTTAGTGCTAATAAAGGTGCCATGTCTGATGAATAGAGTGATGATACACTTAAAAAAATATGCTGTCTGTTAAAGAAATGGAACAAATGATGTATTTTTATTTGCATTTAAAAAGTCAATAGGCAGTTATAACAAATATACTACTCTGGTGAGGGATGTTGACAGTGGGGAAACCTGTGTGTATGTAGGGGTAGGGACATAGGGACTCCCTGCTTTCTGCTCAGTTTTACTGTGAGCCTAAAACTGCTCTAAAAATGAAGTGCGTTTAAAAGAGAAGGGGAAAGTGGTATGGAAATGCGAAATCATAAAGTGTTCACTTGTATGGGGGAGCTGTGAGTGATGTGTAAATGTAACGGATGAGTTGTAAAATCTCTCTGTGTATCTTTTTATGTCATCATATATTTTTAACTAAGTAAATGTACTACTTATTCTAAAAATTAAATGTTAAAAGCTGGTATTGCATTATTTAAATATATAAAAATTTTAAGGCAAAAAAATTAATGAGGATGAAGGGGGCACCATATTATGAAAAAGGTATAATTCACTAGGAACGTAAAACAGTTTCAAATGCATATACACTTAGTGTAGGTGAGTTATAGAAATCTATTATTGACTAAATTTGGAAGAGTATTTTACACATTTTAACATATTTTTCTCCTTAAAAGATCAGTTACAAAAAATCTCAAAAGTATAATTTGAAAAAAAAAAATCCATTGGCTTGAGTATCATACACATTCTTTTTAAGCACACAGAACTATAGAAATTATTTAAATGAGGCCATAAAGGAGGCTTAATAAATTTAAATAAATTGTCATGCAGATGACTTTCTCTGCAAACAGTGCAATTAAACAAGAAATCAATGACAAAAATTAAAGTTAGAAAATAGAAATATGTGTCTTCTAAATAACTATAACAAGAAGTTATTCATTATGCAAATTATAAAACGCAGTAAAAATGTTAAAAAATATGTATATTTACACTTGTGAGATTAGGTCTAAATGATATTAGAGAAAATTCATAGTTGTAAACATTTATATTGAAAGCAGAAAGGTACTTAGATTTTCATTTTTCTAGGTTCTCAGTTATGCTTACCTCATTAATTGTCAGCCTAAGAAGGCAAAAGAAATAATGAAGGGCAGAAGGGAATGAAACACAAAGCGAGACTATTAAACAGAGTAACGGCAAGGCCAAAAATCTGTATTTTCACTTATAATTTCCCATGCCTAGCTAGATAAAGAAGGAATCAGCCACTGTTTCACCTAATAAAATTAGATGAAATTTTATTCACCAAAATTGGATATGGATTATCCAATTACAAGGGAATTATAAGGGAAATTTATGGTCAATCTCCCCTATGAACATGAGTCTATCGGTTACTTTTTAAAAGTATACAGCTTAACCAAGTTGAGGGTAGTGATAGAATGTAAAGGTGGTTTAACATCAGGACAACATTTCCTCTATTTATTAACAGGAGAATGGCTATATAATTATGATGTGTGCAAAAAATTTTATAAAATTCAGTATCATTCATCATAAAAATTTTTAGCAAACCACAAATAGAAAATAATTTCTTAAATCTGGTAACATACATCTACTGAAAGCTTTCCACAGTCCAGTTTAGTAATGAAATGTTAGAAGCATCCCCTTTGAATAACTAACAAATAATGAAAGCCTGGTTTCACCACCCCTGTTCGACATCCTATTGGGCAATATTTTGGCATTTATAAAACACTCCACCTCAAGCTAGCAAAATTGTTTTCAAGTGCACATGCAGCTTTCTCCAAAATGTATTATGAGTTGGGCTATAAAACATAAAACAAGTCTCAGTAAATTTAAAAACTAATAACTCAAAGTATATTACCTGACCACACAATTAAATTTGAATGAAAGAGGTTTGAGAAATTGCAAGGTATTTGGAGGTAAAGAACATAACTAATTCTTGAGTCAAAAAAGAAATAAAGAACATTAGACGTTAGTTAGAACTGAATGAAAACAAAACCACAGCACAGACTACTTATTGAATGCTTATGTATTGCTGATGGAATGCAAAATCCTGCAGCCATGTTCCAAAAGGATTTCCTAATTTCTTAAAAAGTATTACAATACTTAGGAATGTATCCAAAAGAAGTGATAACATGTTCATAGCCAGACTTTGCATGAATATTCTTAGTACTATTATTATTATTATTATTATTATTTTGAGATGGAGTCTCACTCTGTTACCCAGGCTGGAGTATGGTGGTACAATCTCCGCTCACTGAAACCTCCACCTCCAATGTTCAAGTGATTCTCCTGCCTCAGTCTCCCATGTAGCTGGGACTACAGGTGTGCGCCACCACACTCAGCTAATTTTTTTGTGTATTTAGTAGAGACGGGGTTTCACTATGTTGGTCAGGCTGGTCTCGAACTCCTGACCTCAGATGATCCGCCCACCTCAGCCTCCCACAGTGCTGGGATTACAGGCATGAGCCAGTGTGCCCAGCCAGTACTATTATTAATAATAGCTCCAAACTAGAAACAATCCAAAAGTCAATCAGCTGATGAATGGATAAACCAAATGTTTTATGGCCATACATGGAATACTATTGTGCAATTAAAAGGAAACAAACTGCCGATGCATACTGTGGCATAATGAGTCCTAAAACTATTAATGCTAAGTGAAAGAAGCCAGATGCAAAAAAACTGTATACTGTATGCTTCTGTTTATATTAAATGTCCAGAATGCAAATAAGTGGTTAAATGGGGCTAGCAATGGGAGTGGGAATTAACTGCCAGTGGGCACAGGGAACTTTTTAGGATGATAAAAATGATCTACAACTCTATTGTAATGATAGTGGCATGACTCTATGTAATTCTTTAAAGTCAATTGTTCATTTACAAAGTGTGTGAATTTTGCGGTATGTGTAGTATACCTCAGTAAAGCTAGTAAAAATGTGAAAGCAAAATTTAAAACTCTTCGAAAGTGCAGGATAATAGTATTATCACCTTGGATTAAGGAAGGATTTCTAAAACAATAAGTACACATAAATCATACAGGAAAAAGATAAATTTGACCATTAGAATAAAAAGTACTTTAAAAGATACCATAAAAAGTGAAAAGACAAGGCACAAAGTGAAAGAAGATATTTGCAGTTTATCTAGGATACAATGGATTTGTATCCTAAACATATGCAAAATCGTGCAAATAAATTAGAAAAAGAATATCTGTTAGGATCATGAAGAATATAAACAGATGATTCACTGAAGAGGAAACTTGAGTTAGCAGTAAACATATGGGTAATATACTCAACTTCAGTAGTAATCAAGAAAGTGCAAATAAAACATGCATTTAATGCTCATCAGGATGGTAAATTTTAAAACTTGACAGTATCAGGTGTTTGACAAAGAATGTACATCAGTGGAAATTCTCTCCAACCACTGGTGGAATTATATACTGGTACAATCAGATTGAAGAATAATTTACAATTTTTAAAAAGGATAAAGATACTTACACTCTATGACTAAGGAACTCTCTCCTTGACACAGAGAAACTCTCATGTGTATGAACAATGTTCAATATAACATTGTTAATATTAATTAAAAGTTGGAAACAACACAGAACAGGAGAACAGATAAATAAGATATATTCATACAGTTGGATATATTCGGAACTGAAAATGAATGATGTAAACTCCCCTTCCACAAACCAAACATAAAGCAAGTCGCAGAAGGATACATAATATTGATGCAATTTATTTAAATTTCAAAAATATGTAAAGACAAAATTGTAGATTGTGTATGAATATTCATCTAATTAATTTTCATCTTCTGTGAAAATTAACCTCTTTTTGCACTAAAATCCAAGTTTATATTAGTCATGTATCTAGAATGTAGAAATGTGTCTTAAAGTTCCTTTATTTTTTAAAAGTTTATGGGGTTTCCAGAAGATGTGAGAGCCTTCCTTCCTTATACCTCATTCCACATTGTTCAATAGTTTCCTCTTTGATTTATCTATCTCCTCTCATTATATTAAGCAAGGAGAAATCAAAACACACCATCCACACTTTGCTTAGAAATCCCCTCAGCTAAGTTTTAAGTGTCACCTACTAATTCTAATTTTATCCAATATAACCTAATTAAGATACATTCTATAACCAGGTACACATGTTTTCCAGTATCCAATACAATGTTAGTGACAGAAACAAAGCAGGTGTGCTCTCTGCAATGTGGTCATCTGAGGCCTGAGATGACAGGTCACACAGGTATTTTTCCGGTTTCTAAGGGTGGAGGCAGCAACGGTGGTTAACGATTCTGAACAGCACTGGCTCCTACCTAAAACGTTACAGATAAAGTTACTGCTGCTATTTTATATTAACACCTTATTAGAATAAAGCTCTGAGGAAGAGACCACATCCTAGGTCACACAGTGTGGAGGAGTGGAGCTGTGCTCAGCTCTCCACACTAGCTACAAGATCCCAGGCACAAGCCCATGTCCCACAGATGCATGGCATCCAGAGGGCAGGACTCGGGATGATCTCAGGGCATCTGCTTCCTGGGGTAGAGTACTTGCGACCGTCAATTGTGCACTTGCTGCTCCTGCAGGCTCTGAAGTGAGCACTTGTATTGCCATGAATTATACATGTTCTCTCCCCTAACATGGAAAGAAAACATATTTATTTAATTTTCCATTTTATTGTCTCTGAAGCACGTTGGGTGAGAGAAAGAAAGAAATCATATCCTTTATCCTCCCACACAGCCAAAGATTCCTGAAGACAGAGCTGATGCCATGTACTCAAGTGGGTCTCTGCCTCTCAGAGGTGGCCTTGATCTTCAAGTTTCAGCAATTCTGGGAAGCCAAGGACACCTCCATCTCCTCCTCCCTGATCTGCAACTCATCTGAGAGCAGCTTTCTCATTGGAATGTCTTGTGTTTAAGGAACAAGAATCCCTGTTTCCGGTTTGGGTGCCCAAGTGCACCTACTGGATCCAACCCAGGATTGGAGATACTTTGCAGAACACAACATCATCTGGCACATGACCAGCCATGGTGTTTCACTTTCACAATTTCAGCTTCCTTCACTGATTGCAGCATAATCGTGGTTCAGCAGCCTCCAAGACCAGGGCTGATGTGGGCGGCTACAGGGAGAAATTCAAGAGGAAGTTCTTGGTGGTGCCCTCCATGAGTACAAAGAAGCCTCACAGTCCCCAGGACACCCTTCCGTGCATGGTGTCACTGACATCTTTATTTCTTTTGTCACGTTCTGTAAATCACAATGAATGGGGTATTCTTCCTCTATTATATATTTGTTAAGTCTTTTTTGGCATCTTTAAAAAAAACTGGTAACTTTATCCTATGTAATATCCCTGTTAAGTCCTAAAAGTCTTTTCTGATGTCTATTTTGTCTGAAATTTGCACAGCTACTATAGCTTTATTTCGGTTCATATTTTCATAATCCATGTTTTCTCATCCTTTTATATTTGTGAATGTGTAAAGTAACTTTCTTGTGCATAGCTAAGAGTTTGGTCTTGCTTTTTTAAATCGACTATAAGTTCTATTTTTAAACTAATATTTTCTCTTATTTTTTGTTTAAGATAGCATTTCATAATGATGTTTATTTCTCCATTAACATATTACCTAATTCACTTTTTATAAATATTATATTTGTTACCATAAGGTTTGCAAAAGGAGCGATTCTTCATTTTGGAACCCTTTCTTATTTTCTGGGTACCATGAGAAATTGTAGACTTTACTCCTATATTCTCTTTCCAAGCCCTAGGATTAGCCATTTTTCCAAGAAATGTTGCATACCATTCTGCTATGAAGGGAACCAAAACTCAAATCTTGATTCTGGGTGTATTTTTTGTTAATTTGCTGTCTTTTCTTGTAGAACCTCTCAGGTAATGACTCTAGGAGGTATGTGTTGTGTATTAACCCATATATATACATACATCTAAACTATTTTTATTTAATTTTTATACCTATATTATGCTAAACTTGCAAATATATTGACACATCTGCCCTAAGTTAATACCACATGAATGTTTATTACCTACCTTCTATTCCTGTCCCTAACCTCGCACTCCAACCGTGAGGAACCCCCTCCTGCCACACCCTGTCTATTCCCTTTGTAGTCCAGTTCCAGGATTTCTGTAGAGTGGAACCAGATTGTGTATGTTTTGCTCTTTTGTGGAACATCATCAGCTGGGGTACAGTTCTGACGTGCACTTTCTTTATTCTTTTATTGACTACACTATTTCTGAAGTCACTTGGCACCTCTTCTGATTTCATACATTTGTAATGACATTAGATATTTTCTATATTGTCTGCATTCTATCCTGGAATTCCTAATCTCCTATTTATTTATATTTTTGTGAATTGGAATTAACCCTTTATGCTGTATATTCTGTTGATTTCAACAAATTCATATCACATATTTACCATTATAATATTATACATAATACTTTCATCACCCTTTTAAATCTATTTTTTACCCATTTTCATCATCTCCTTAAATTTCTCGCAAATACAGAATCACTTTATGTGTTTGGACTTCTCCAGAATATCAAATAAATAACATACTATGTAGCTTTTTCAGACTTGTTTCTTTCACTTAACAATATGCATTTAAAATTCATTTATGTATTTTTATGGTTTGATAGCTCTTGTTTATAATTGCTGAATATTATTCTATGAATTTACTGCCGACTGTTTATCTGCTCACCTACAGAACTTCTTGAGTGTTCCTAGTTTTGACAAATATGAATGAACTTACTGTGATTATTCATGTGTAGTTTTCTTTGTGGTCATACATTGAAAGTCAGATAGATAAATACCTAGGAGCATGGGTGCTGGATTGCATGCCAAAACTATGTTGAGATTTGACTGAATTTGCCTCCTAGAATTTCTGTGAAGTGGAGGCGCTCAGCTGACCCTGTCTCCTTGCTGGGAGGAAGCTCAGTGCTCAGGGTGGGGCCACCTGGGTGGATCCAGGCCAAGCTCCCTCTCAACAATTAGGGACAGCAGCCTGCCCTGTGGATGCACATCTAGGAAACAGATGCCCCAGACATGCATTGTCCAGGACCACAGAGATGCTTAGGAGTCAGACAGGAAGGGGCACACTGAGGAGCAGGTGCTGGGATAGACCAGGAGGGGAGCTTCTAGCAAAATCCTTGGTTCTCCTTTAGCGAAACTATATCTAACTCCCAGGAAAACTTCCACTCCATCATTTGTAACCCATGCCCTGAAATTTCCATGCTCAAACTCAGTAAACTCAGTGGATTTAGCTGGAAGTGTGAAAAAAAACTAAAATGAAAATGACTCGTTAATTCTGTGATAATTGGTCATTTTCTAGGGAACACCCCAATAATATTGATGATCATAATGTTAATGTCAAAAGCAACATACACCGTCAGCATGATGGCAGTGTGTCTCCTGGTAGAATATATTTATTACTTGAAAATTATGCTCAAAACAGTCTTTTCCCACAGAAAATCCCACTTTCTCTTCTCACACAGTCAATTTCAGTATCCTGATCCTCAGAGTTGGAAGCACCGTGTCCTCAGGAGATAGGAGGGAAAGTCACTAGCATGGCCCTGGAGTCTTGGTGCCAGATTCTTCATCTTTGTGGCAATCAAAAGGCAAATATTCTGTACCTACTTGAAGGACTTCATAAGCAAATTACGATTTAATTTACAAGAACACTATGTCACACGTATACACACAGGTTTTTTATATTTGTTGTCTTTTCCGTGATTATCTCTTACAGTGTTGTATATTTAATATATTCATTTTATTTTAATTTTATGTAGGTTCCTCATTCCTTCATATGTGTATTACATTTCCCTGGAACTATCACGTATTTTATATACTTAGCAATGGAAAGCTCCTGGTTTCAGTTGTCTGTGCAGCAGGCAGGGGGAGGAGAAGAAAATGGGTCACACTCCTGACCCTGCCTGCATAGCCACAGGTTCCCAAAAGCAGAGGTCCCTGCTGTGCACCTTCCCTGGGACAACTTTCTTATTGATGGGTCTTGTGTTTAATTAATGAGAGTTTGTTTTAGGGGTATGGGCCCAGGTGCAGCTACTGAATCCAGTGCAAGAGTGGAAATAAGCTTCCAAAACAGTATCACCTGAGAGAGAACTGAGTCCATCCCTGTAGTACCATCTGAGTTACAGCTTCCTGGGCAAAGGCTCAGAATCATAAAAACTTTACATATGTGTCATGTGCTGTGATTCTTCTGTGTCACTGTATGTTGAGCTATATCTGTGTGGTGCCACTTACACTTAATGAGATGAGATTCCTTCTACTTGTTTCACGTCACTCGTGATCTCTGAAGCTACTTCAGATTTCTGCTTTAATATGTAAAGAGCATGTCAATCATCACCCACATTCTTACCATAATAAAAGTCTGGAAAATTGATTATCAATGATTTCTTGGATCTATTGAAGAAATGAAATTGCAGGGAAAACCAGGACCCAAAAACTAGAAAGACATTAAAATAGAGATCATAACACTGACGGGACAAACTTTCTGTGGCAATAAGATACCCAATTATAAACAAGACCTAAGGCCATGCCAGGCAGGGATTAAGTCACTCACCCCTACACTTAAAAAATAGACTATGTTGTAACTGCCACAGGGCTTTTTGTTTTTCTCTAACAGCTAAACAAGCACTGGTCCTGAGATAAGCAATATTAAAACATTTGCAGTTCATGGAACTTCAGACATGGAGTAATTGTGACCTTGTTTCACAAGCCATAAATAGAGCTTTGATTGGACAAGAGATGGATTTCAGTAACTTTCTCCTGAAAAGAGACCACTGACCATAGACTTGGCCTCACCAATTTCCAGAGGCTGTGCACTGTGTTTTTTTCCGCCCCTGCACAAAGCCCTTTTGATGTGCAGGGCCCAACTGTAATTCAGTTAGTTCTTAAGTCCTCACCCCAAAGCAAACATGAAGTGCATGTAGCGTGTCTGTCTGATTATTAGACCTGAGAGCATGCCTGCCATGTGAATATCCACAGCTCCTATAGCCTGCTGAGTGTGTATACTTGGCCAACGCATTCACATGAATTCATTTCTCGTCTTTCCCTGTCTTGAAGTACCTGCTCAATGTCTCTGTGGGAGGCTTTGCTTCCCAGCCTGTTAAGATGGCCGTCCTGCAGCTTCAATCCTTTCTCAGAAATAAAGTCCCCTTTCTAAATCAATAAATTGGGTGATTCTTCAGTTGACAGCACAAGCTGGCGGAAACATGGTAATTCCATAAATGTCTGGAGGACAGGTGTGGACAGGGATGGGGTAAGAACTCCTGGGGGGCCACACACCCCACACTATCATGGAATTTCCCTCCAGAAAATTCTGGGTTCTCAAGATGAGAGTCCAAACAGAATCACTCGTAGCTCTGTCGTCAGGAGAACTATTCTGTGATAAATATGCCCAGAACTTTCTCCTAACAGATGCTACAGAGACAAAATACTTTTCAAGATCTTTATTCTATGTGAGAGGAAGGGATTCTTTTCCATCCCAGACAGCTTCATCTTAGCCTTCCCGTGTCATGAAAAGGGGTATAATTAATAAACAACTGGGGTCAGATTCAAGAAAATAATCTGTGGATGCTGCAGCCAGGAGGGGGAGTGGAGGATGGAGGAAAATCCGCTGTACCACTGGAGACTCCTTGTAAAGGGTGCAGCCTAGAGAAAACACAGCAAGAAAACATTGGAAGTCAATTTCCAGAACATATACTGCTCCCCTGTCCACTGCATCACCTCCCCTCCTCACCAATAGGATTAATCTGGATTAAAGAGAAAAGTGTGATAATGCACAGACTCTGTCCAAACACTACAACTTAGGGAAACCAAAGGCAGTGGGAGAGAACAAGTCAAGGACAGTGAAGTGATTCAAAGCCTCTGAGAACAACAGCTTCAGGACCAAGGTCACAGCCTCTCCCTCAATGGCCTTAGATTTACTTCTCATGGGGCATCTGCAGGGTTCCCAGGTGAGAACTGGCAAAGAGAACATGAAGGCACTTTCCAAATCTCCAGTAATACTGAGCTTGCTTTAGCTCTGTCTGGAAAAAATAACAACAACAAACACAAGCAGGACTATGGCCAGTGTTGGAAGCACTTTTCATTGACAAGACACTTGGAAGGAGGGCAAATCTGAGTCTCGTTACTGTGCAAATGTGCCACTGTGAGTGTATGTGTGTGTGTGGGGGGGGGGGTGCTTTGAGACATAGGGTCTTTGTGTAAAGTTACAATCTGATGTGATCGTCAACCACAGAATCCTAAAAAAAAATAGAGGCTGCCCCAAAGTTCCCATCGGTTCCTAGACTTGCCATGTGTCCGGACCCTATCAGTGCACCTAGAACTCCAGGGAAGGGGCTCCCTGGTGGCTTTAGTGATTCCTTGTTGCTGTGCTGAGGTCTCCCGGTAGATTATGTCGGGTGTTCTAAGGCCTATTTGCTACTGTAAGAGATGGTGGGAGAAGCAATTGCTGCCATTGAAAGAGCATTCTGAGTCAGGGCAAGGCCACTTCATACTGTGCTTGAGACGCTGGGAGGAGAATTCTCTATGAGCCCAGACAGGAACTTTCCTGCAGGGCAGGAGCTGAGCTGCAGGGGGCGCTCAGGGCGCACCCAGCACAGGATCCAGCCCTGGAGCAGGTTCACAGGAGGCTGGGGAGGGGTTTTCTCTCAGGAATTGAATGTTCTTTATTTCAAAGCAATAATAACCTAAAATCTAAATAAGAATGTAGTAAGTACTGATGTGTCTTTAAGTATTCTATTATATATGTAGCCTATACCTAACCAAATAATTGAATGCAAACAGCATTTAAAAGGAGAAATGTCTAGTCTTTTCAAATGTATTTATAGTTAGGAATTGAAGAGTGGTTTTATTAATTCAATGGGTGTTACTGTCGGAAGATACACTCATCCCAGAATTTAGATGTGCAGAGGTCAAGGCCCAGGAAAAGTTCAGGTTGTCAGGGTGCCATATGAACAAGAAATGACATTGAGGACAATGTCCTGGGAGATTCTGGTTTTCTGTAAAACGAGTTCTGTCTTCATGGACTTCTGAGCATAACAGAGGGCAAATATCATTAAACAAAGTTCAGGGCAGGGAGCTCTGCATCCCACTGTGGCGTGGTCCGTGTGTCACCTATCTTCTTCCTCAGGTTGAGGTGGCTTGAGCTATGAAATACCTGCCTCGTGAATATGCAAATGCACTGCTGTCTACCGAGGTACATACAGATCTGTCCTTGCCCAGAGAGCATCACACAACAACCACATCCCTCCCCTACAGAAGCCCCCAGAGCACAGCACCTCACCATGGACTGGACCGGGAGGATCCTCCTCTTGGTGGCAGCAGCCACAGGGAAGAGAATCCTAAGTTCCAGGGCTGATGAGGGGACTGGGTCCAGTTAAGTGGAGTCTCAACCACTTCTCTGTCCTCTCCACAGGTGCCCATTCCCAGGTCCAATCGGTGCAGTCTGGGGCTGAGGTGAGGAAACCTGGGTCCTCAGTGAAGGTGATCCCAGATACACCTTCACCTTCCACTACATACACTGGGGGCGACAGGCCCCTGGAAAAGGGCTTGAGTGGATGGAACGTGTTGATCCTGAAGATGGTGAAACAATATATGCACAGAATTCCAGGGCAGAGTCACCACGACCTGGGACATGTCTACAGACACAGCCTACATGGAGCTGAGCAGCCTGAGATCTGAGGACACAGCCGTATATTAATGTGCAAGACACGCAGTGTGAAAACCCACATCCTGAGAGTGTCAGAAACCTTGAGGAAGGAGGCAGCTGTGCTGGGGGTGAGAAGATGACAGGATTTATGAGGTTTAAACGTGTTTAGAAAATGGGTTAAGTAATTGAGGAAAAGAAGCAATAGAAAGATGTATACACTCTAATTATATAGGAAATAGTCTTTTCAACTTTCACCCTGTAAGTAAAATTCACAGAGTGGGAAAGGCAGCAATCAATCAGGCTGATGCAAACACTCCCATGGAAGCCTTGTGGGGACATAACATTTTAAAATCGAATGGATAAATCATTTGGAGCAGGATTGCTTTATCACGTGGTCAGACTAAACATAATTTCTAAGAAGTGGCCAACATTTCTTCCAAAATGTCTTTGCCACTTTTTTTACATTACATTTATTTTAAAACACTTTTAGGATCACAGCAAATTTGAGTAGAAGAAACAGAGTTCCCATGTATTCCTGCCCAAGATACGCACAGACTTCTCCGTGATCAATACCCTGCACTGAAGTAATAACTTGCAACTGACAAACCCGCATGGACACATTAATTGTTTCCTTTTCTGGCGTCCCCTAGTATAACAAGCCTAAACTATCTTGAAACACCCCGGGTTCCTCAAGCGGATTACTGGGAATGATGCCAGGTAGAGGGAAAGTGGGTGGGGACGTTCCTCTTTGCACTCTTTCCTCAAGAATCCATAAAATGTACATTGATTTGGAGCTCATCTGACTTGTTTTTCTATGCCCCTTCCCAGAGGGTAAGGTCTCCAAGCATTTACAGCAGAGGTCCCCAACCCCTAGGCAGTGAACCAGAACTGGTCAGCAGCCTGTTAGAAACCAGGCAGCACAGCAGGTGAGCGGCGGGTGAGCATCACTGCCTGAGCTCCGCCTCTTGTCAGATCAGCTGTGCACTAGATTCTCCTAGGATCCAAATTCTATTGTGAACTGGGCATGCAAAGGACCTAGTTTGAGTGCTCCCTATGAGAATCTAATGCTTGATGAATGCAGGTGGAGTAAGTTCATCCCATAATCACTCACCGCCATCATCCATGGAAAAATTGTCTGCCACGAAACCGTTCCCTGGTGCCAAAAATGTTGGGGACCACTGGTGTAGAGGAAGGTCTGTGCCTGTGAAAGGCCAGCAGCTTCTGGTGAATCCCATAATCAATGTCCTTTAATGAGAAGTGAAGACTTTGGCCATGAGGGCTTTCATGAATAATGCCCTTCAGTTGAATTCAAAACACTATAAGCTCTTGGGGGGTGTTTCTGGATAAAGGCCTTTGTGAAGAAAATACAAACACATGCATGGGATCCAGGCAGGAAAAAAGCTTCCCTTAGAAAGTGGTTTGGTACCTGGAAGGAGCTCTCAGGGTTGGGCACTGGACCCCTTGCTGGCTGCACTTTAGCCAGAGGCCTGAGCCTGATTGATCTTGCAGCGAGAGAGCCTCACTGGGGTCACAGGTTACCAAAATGCCTGTCATCTTCCAGCTGAGCAAGCCCATCTGCATGCTTGTCACTGTCAACCCCATGAGGGGTGCACTCTGGAAGATGACAAGATGCACACAAACCTCCTCCCCCCACTTATCCACTACCACACAATCGAAACCAATTTATATTCCAGAAAGGGACAGGTGCCTGCAGGGATAAACAGAATGGAAGTATTATCTTACCTGGGAAAGACACTGCCAAATACCACATGTTTCAGGAAGATCAACTCATAAGTGTTCAGGAAGTGACTGAAGGGCAACGGTGGGTGAAGTGACGTGGCAGCCTCAGGGCTGCATGTGAGGAGGGCTCCCTCCCCCATGCAGGCTTTGCCTCCAGGAGCTGCACCAGGAACTCACAGAGGATCAGGAATTATTCTGAGAACATACTTCTGAGTGCTGCCTACAGGGAGAAAATAAATTATAAAAAATAAATCAATTCTAAACAAAATATGACATTTGTTATTAGAAACTATTTCTGGAACCTGTGGGAAACAAACCAACCCTGTGGCTGACAGCAACCACCGGCAGCCACCATCCCCTCCACAGCCCTGTGTTTGGAACATCACCTGAGTGATTGTATAAGGAACTTTCTTTCAGAATCATCTTAAAAACTTATGTGTCCCATTTCACATGGAGAGGTCATCTATCCATTTTGTCTTCATAGAGAAATAGAAGGAGGTGAATACCAAATACACTTCATATCTCCGGATTATTCAAATCTAATTGCCCCTTTATCACCTTCTGATTTCTGGTCTACACAGAACAATCTGCAAATTTTTCTCACTGGTGTTATACTAAAACTTGTGAAGGGCCAGATACTGGAATAATTTCAACTTACATTATTATTCTAATAATTCTAAGAATTTAGAATTAAGATTATCCTCTTTTCATAGATGGACAAACTAACCTAGATATTTGAAAATAAACCCTTAACTGAGACTGAAAAGATCAGCCATAGATTTGGAGAATTTGCTTGCAAATCCAATATTTGGAAAAGGGCTTTTATCACAAATATATAAATTGACTTATAATTGAACAAAAACAAAACCACAAAATTTATTTTTAAAATGGGCAAAGACCTGAAGAGAAACCACATCTAAAAGTAAAGATAAAAAGTGATCAGTTTGATTTTTATTAGGTAAATGTACATTTAATATTCAAAAAATACTGCTAACCTGCTAAAATGGGTAAAATAAACAATATAGACAATACCAAATGGTGAAGAGAAAGCTGAAAATCAGGAACTTTCACTTACTGCTGTTGGGAATGCTAAAATGGTACATAGACAACTACAGTTAATAATTTATTGTATATTTGAAAATAGCTAGAAGAGAAAATTTAGAATGTCCTTAACACAAAGAAATAATCAATGATTGAGATGAAGGATATCCCGGTTATCCAGGTTTGATCACTGCACATATTATTTTATCAAAATATCACATGTACCACATAAAGGTTTTGAACTGTTATGTATCTGTATAAATTCAACATTTAAAAATCAAATGCAGGGGAATCCAGCTAATTGCAGATTCCCATTAGATGGGATGTTCTATGTAATCTGTAAACTAATCAGAATCTGTGGGTTTGTAAAAGGACTTTAGAAATCAACTAGATTACTTGTTTCTAAAGATAAGTCTTGCAAGTTTAATTATTTTCCTAATGGGGGGCAATTTTGAACACAGAAGAAATGTTAACATTTGTTTCTTGTAACTTTTCTTCTAGTATCAGGAGAGAAGGTTTGCAGGGAGGAATCTGGGACCATCTTTCATGTCTCAACTTTAAAGTGATTACCTCAATGAATATTTTCTGATACCCCTGATTAGGATAAGTCTCATATATGTCCTATAAACTAAAAATAGAATTCTAAGCAACCCAACTGGCTGAATGGACCCTTCCTCTTCAAAAAGGAGTTCCAGAGATACTTGAAAAGCTAGTTTAGGCCATGTTAGCAAGAGAGGATCAGAAATGCCTCATTATGCACTCCTGCCTTTGGAATTCAAGCACAACTAACCAGCATTTTCATTCAAACAGATCTTAAGGCTCAGAAAACAGATTCTTTGTAGCAGTAAGATACCAAATTCTAACCTGACTCAAGAATAGCATCACATGACAGCAGGCCTTGAGAGGAATCAAAGTCTTTTGCCCTAAAGTATATTTTTGACATATTTTAAATTGCCCTGCACAGTTATATTTTGTGAGAGAAATTTACATTCTGTAGAGAATCGCTTTACCTTTCCAGGTGTTTTTGTTATATGGAGGAGATTAACTGAGAGTCTAGCATCTTTTAAAGGTCTTAATAGAAAACACTTGCCATCTATTGCCTCTAAGGGTGGCCACATAAGAGACTTCATCTGCATAATAAGAATATTGTTCTCCAAAGCCCGCTCTCTAAATCTAGAAACTTTTTCAACTGATTTCAGGTCTTTAGATAAAACCTTAAGTCTTTTAATCAATTGCCAATAAGAAAAACTTTGAATCCACCTGTAAGCTGTAATCCCCTCCCCACACTGCCTCACTTCTTGCTGTTTTGTCTTTATAGACCAAATCAACACATATCTCACATGTATTGATTGATGTCAAATGTCTCTCTAAGACATTAGATATAAGAGCAATCAAACCACTTTGGGCACATGTTCTCAAGGTCTTCTAAGGTGTGTCACAGGGCATGGTCCTCACATTTGGCTCAGAATAAATCTCTCTAAATATTTTGCAAAGTTACCTTTTTTAATTATACTTTAAGTGATGGGATACATGTGCAGAACGTGCATGTTTGTTACATAGCTATACATATGCCATGGTGGTTTGCTGCACCCATCAACCCGTCATCTATATTAGGTGTTTCTCCTAATGTTATTCCTCCCCTAGCCCCTCACCCCCCAACAGGCCCTGTTGTGTGATGTTCCCCTCCCTGTGTCCATGTGTTCTCATTGTTCAACTCTCCCTCATGAGGGAGAACATGCAGTGTTTGGTTTTCTGTTCCTGTGTTAGTTTGCTGAGGATGATGGTTTCCAGATTCATCCATGTCCTTGCAAAGAACATGAACTCATTCTTTTTTATGGCTGCATAGTATTCCGTAATGTATATGTGACATATTTTCTTTATCCAGTCTATCACTGATGGGCATTCGGGTTGGTTCCAAGTCTTTGCTATTGTCAACGGTGCTGCAATAAACATACACGTGCATGTGTCTTTATAGTGGATTAATTGTTCATCCTTTGGGTATATACCCAGTAATGGGATTGCTGGGACAAATGGTATCTCTAGGCCTAGATCCTTGAGGAATTGCCACAGTGTCTTCCACAATGGTTGAACTAATTTACCCTCCCACCAATAGTGTAAAAGCATTCCTATTTCTCTACATCCTCTCCAGCATCTGTTGTTTCCTGACTTTTTAATGATTGCCATTCTAACTGGCATGAGATGGTATCTCACTGTGGTTTTGATTTGCATTTCTCTAATGACCAGCGATGATGACCTTTTTTTCATATGTTTGTTGGTCTCATAAATGTTTTCTTTTGAGAAGTGTCTGCTCATATCCTTCACCCACTTTTTGATGGTGTTGTTTGTTTTTTTTCTTTTAAATTTGTCTAAGTTCCTTAGAGATTCTGGATATTAGCTCTTTGTCAGATGGATAGATTGCAAAAATTTTCTCCCATTCTGTAGGTTGCCTGTTCACTCCAATGACAGTTTCTTTTGCTGTGCAGAAGCTCTTTAGTTTAATTAGATCCCATTTGTCAATTTTGGCTTTTGTTGCCATTGCTTTTGGTGTTTTAGTCATGAAGTCCTTGCCCATGCCTATGTCCTGAATGGTATTGCCTAGGTTTTCTTCTAGGGTTTTTATGGTTTTAGGTCTTACATTTAAGTCTTTAATCCATCTTGAGTTAATTTTTGTGTAAAGTGTAAGGAAGGGGTCCAGTTTTAGTTTTCTGCATATGTCTAGCCAGTTTTCCATACACCATTTATTAAATAGCAAATCCTTTCCCCATTGCTTGTTTTTGTCAGGTTTGTCAGAGATCAGATGTTCTAGATGTGTGGCATTATTTCTGAGGCCCCTGTTCTGTTCCATTAGTCTATATATCTGTTTTGGTGTCAGCATCATGCTGTTTTGGTTACTGTAGCCTTATAGTATAGTTTGAAATCAGGTAGCATGATGCCTCCAGCTTTGTTTGTTTGTTTGTTTTTGCTTAGGATTGTCTTCGCTTTACAGTCTCTTTTTTGGTTCCATATGAAATGTAAAGTAGTTTTTTTTCTAATTCTGAGAAGAAAGTCAATGGTAGCTTGATGGGGATAGCATTAAATCCATAAATTACTTTGGGCAGTATGGCTGTTTTTACAATATTGATTCTTCCTTTCCATGTCCATGAAATATTTTTCCATTTGTTTGTGTCCTCTCTTATTTCCTTGGGCAGTGGTTTGTAGTTCTCCTTGAAGAGATCCTTCACATCCCTTGTAAGTTGTATTCCTAGGTATTTTATTCTCTTTGTAGCAATTGTGAATGGGAGTTCACTCATTATTTGGTTCTCTGGTTGTCTATTATTGGTGTATAGGAATTGTTGTGATTTTTGCACATTGATTTTGTATCCTGAGACTTTGCTGAAGTCGCTTATCAGCTTAAGGAGATTTTGGGCTGAGAGGAGGAGGTTTTCTAAATATACAATCATGTCATCTGCAAACAGAGATAATTTGACTTCCTCTCTTTCTATTTGAATACCTTTATTTCTTTCTCTGGCCTGATTGCTCTGGCCAGAGCTTCCAATACTATGTTGAATAGGAGGAGTGGTGAGGGAGGGCATCTTTGTCTTTTGCTGGTTTTCAAAGAGAATGCTTCCAGTTTATGCCCATTCAGTATGATATTGGCCGTGGATTTGTCATGAATAGCTCTTATTATTTTGAAATATGTTCCATCAATACCTAGTTTATTGAAAGTTTTTAGCATGAAGTGGTGTTGAATTTTATTGACGGCCTTTTCTGCTTCTATTGAGATAATTGTGTGTTTTTTTCCATTGGTTCTGTTTATGTGATGGATTATGTTTATTGATTTGTGTATGTTGAACCAGCCTTGCATCCCAGGGATGAAGCCGACTTGATCATGGTGGATCAGCTTCTTTATGTGCTGCTGGATTTGGTTGGCCAGTATTTTATTGAGGATTTTTGCATCAATGTTTATCAGGGATATAGGCTTGAAATTTTTTTGGTGTTGTGTCTCTGACAGGTTTTGGTATCAGGATGATGCTGGCTTCATAAAATGAGTTAGGGTGGAGTCCCTCTTTTTCTGTTGTTTGGAATAGTTTCAGAAGGAATGGTACCAGCACCTCTTTGTACCTCTGGAAGAATTCATCTGTGAATCTGTCTTGACCTGGGCTTTTTTTGGTTGGTAGGCAATTAATTACTGCCTCAATTTCAGAACTTGTTATTGGTCTCTTCAGAGATTCGACCTCTTCCTGGTTTAGTTTTGGGAGGGTGTGTGTGTCCAGGAAGTTATCCATTTCCTCTGATTTTCTAGTTTATTTGTATAGAGGTGCTTATAGTATTCTCTAATGGTAGTTTGTATTTCTGTGGGATGAGTGACGATATGCCTTTCCTCATTTTTTATTGTGTCTATTTGATTCTTCTCTCTTTTCTTCTTTATTAGTCTGGCTAGCAGTCTATCTATTTTGTTAATCTTTTCAAAAAATCACCTACTGGATTCACTGATTTTTTGAAGGGATTTTTGTGTCTCTATCTCTTTCAGTTCTGCTCTGATCTTAGTTATTTCTTGTCTTCTGCTAGCTTTTGAATTAGTTTGCTCTCGCTTCTCTAGTTCTTTAATTGTGATGTTAGTGTGTTGATTTTAGATCTTTCATGCTTCCTCTTGTGGGCATTTAGTGCTATAAATTTCCCTCTAAACACTGCTTTAGCTGGGTCCCAGAGATTCTGGTACATTGTATCTTTGTTCTCATTGGTTTCAAAGAACTTATTTATTTCTGCCTTAATTTCATTATTTACCCAGTAGTCATTCAGGAGCAGCTTGTTCAGTTTTCATGTACTTGAGCAGTTTTGAAGAGTTTCTTAATCCTGAGTTCTAATTTGATTGTACTGTGGTCTGGGAGACTGTTTGTTCTGATTTCCATTCTTTTGTATTTGCTGAAGAGTGTTTTACTTCCAATAATATGGTCAGTTTTAGAATAAGTGTGATGTGGTGCTGAGAAGAATGTATATTCTGTTGATTTGGGGTGGAGATTTATGTAGATGTCCATTAGAGCCACTTGGTCCAGAGCTGAGTTCAAGTTCTGAATATCCTTGTTAATTTTCTGTCTCATTGATCTGTCAAATATTGACAGTGAGGTGTTAAAGTCTCCAGCTATTATTGTGCGGGAGTCTAAGTCTCTTTGTAGGTCTCTAAGAACTTGCTTTATGAATCTGGGTGCTCCTGTATTGGGTGAATATATATTTAGGATAGTTAGCTCTTCTCGTTGCATTGATACCTTTACCATTAGGTAATCCTCTTCTTTGTCTTTTTTGATGTTTGTTGGTTTAAAGTCTGTTTTATAACACACTAGGGGTGCAACCACTATTTTTTTTTCTTTCCATTTGATTGGTAAATATTCCTGCATCCCTTTATTTTGAGACCTTGGTGAGTCTTTGCACATGAGATGCGTCTCCTGACTACAGCACACCAATGGGTCTTGAGTCTTGATCTAATTTGTCAGTCTCTGTGTTTTAATTGGGGCATTTAGCCTGTTTACATTTAAGGTTAACATTGTTATGTATAAATTTGATCCTGTCATTATGATGTTAGCTGATTGTTGTGCCCATTAGTTGATGTAGTTTCTTCATACTGTTGATGATCTTTACAATTTGGTATGTTTTTGCAGTGGCTGGTACTGGTTTTTCCTTTCCATATTTAGTGCTTCCCTCAGAAGCTCTTGTAAGGCAGGCCTGGTGGTGCAAAAAATCTCAGTATTTGCTTGTCTGTAAAGGTTTTTATTTATCCTTTGCTTATGAAGTTTAGTTTGGCTGGATATGAAATTCTGGGTTGAAAATTCTTTTCTTTAAGAATATTGAATATTGGCCCCCACTCTCTTCTGGCTTGTAGGGTTTCTGCAGAGAGATCTGCTGATAGTCTGATGGGCTTCCCTTTACGGGTAAACCGACCTTTCTCTCTGGCTGCCCTTAACATTTTTTCATTCATTTCAGCCTTGGTGAATCTGAAGATTATGTGTCTTGCAGTTGCTCTTCCCGAGGAGTATCTCTGTATTTCCTGAATTTGAATGTTGGCCTGTCTTGCTAGGTTGGGAAAGTTCTCCTGGATAATATCCTGAAGAGTGTTTTCCAACTTGGTTCCATTCTCCCCATCACTTTCAGGTACACCAGTCAAACGAAGGTTTGGTCTTATCACATACTCCAATATTTCTTGGAGGCTTTGTTCATTCCTTTCATTCTTTTTTCTCTAATCTTGTGTTCACACTTTATTTCATTAAATTGGTCTTGAATCTCTGATATCCTTTCTTCCACTTGTTCAATTCAACTATTGATATTTGTGTATGCGTCACGAAGTTGTTGTGCTGTGTTTTACAGCTCCATCAGGTAATTTATGTTCTTCTTTAAACTGGTTATTCTAGTTAGCAATTCGTCTAACCTTTTTTCAAGGTTCTTAGCTTCCCTGCATTGGGTTAGAACACGCTCCTTTGCCTCAGAGGAGTTTGTTATTACCCACCTTCTGATGCCTCCTTCTGTCAGTTCGTCAAACTCATTTTCCGTCCAGTTTTGTTCCCCTTGCTGATGAGGAGTTGTGATCCTTTAGAGGAGAAGAGGTGTTCTGGTTTTGGGAATTTTAAGCCCTTTTGAACTGGTTTATCCTCATCTTTGTGGATTTATCTACCTTTGGTCTTTGATGTTGGTGACCTTCAGATGGGGTTTCTGTGTGGACGTCCTTTTTGTTGATGTTGATACTATTCCTTTCTGTTTGTTAGTTTTCCTTCTAAAAGTCAGGCCTCTCAGCTGCAGGTCTGCTGAGTTTGCTGGAGATCCACTCTAGATCCTATTTACCTGGGTATCACCAGCAGAGACTGCAGAACAGCAAAGATTGCTGCCTGCTTCTTCTTCTGATTCGTCCTAGAGGGGCACCTGCCAGATGCCTGCTGGAGCACTCCTGTATGAGGAGTCTGTCAACCCCTGTTGGGAGGTGTCTCCCAGTCAGGAGGCATGGGGGCCAGGGACCCACTGGAAGAGGCGGTCTGTCCCTTAGCAGCGTGGAGCGCTGTGTTGGGAGATCTGCTCATCTCTTCAGAGCCAGCAGGCAGGAATGTTTAAGTCTGCTGAAGCTGTGTCCACAGCCACCCCTTCCCCCAGGTGCTCTGTCCCAGGGAGATGGGGGTTTTATCTATAAGCCCCTGACTAGGACAGTTGCCTTTTTTTCCGAGATGCCCTGCATAGCAAGGAGGAATCTAGAAAGGCAGTCTAGCTACAGCAGCTTTGCTGAGCTGTGGTGGGCTCCGGCCAGTTTGAACTTCCAGGTGACTCTGTTTACACTGTGAGGGGAAAACTGCCTTCTCAAGCCTCAGTAATGGCAAACGCCCATCCGCCCACCAAGCTCGAGCATCCCAGGTCAACTTCAGACTGCTGTCCGGGCAGCAAGAATCTCAAGCCAGTGGATTTTAGCTTGCTGGGCTCCGTAGGGGGGGATCCATTGAGCTAGACCACTTGGCTCCCTGCCTTCAGCCCCCTTTCCAGGGGAGTGAAAGGTGCTCTCTCGCTGGCGTTCCAGGTGCCACAGGAGTATAAAAAAAAAAACAACTCTTGCAGCTAGCTGGGTGTCTGCCCAAATGGCCCGGTTTTGTGGTTGAAACCCAGGGTCCTGGTGGTGTAGGAACCCGAGGGAATCTCCTGGTCTGCGGGTTTTGAAGACCGTGGGAAAAGTGTAGTATCTGGGCCAGAGTGCACCTTTCCTCAGGGCACAGTCTCTCACCGGGCACAGTCCCTCACGGCCTCCCTTGGCTAGGGGAGGGAGTTCCCTGACCCACTGGACTTCCTGGGGGAGGTGACACCCCACCCTGCTTCAACTCGCCCTCCGTGGGCTGCACCCACTGTCTAACCAGTCCCAAGGAGATGACCCTCAGTTCGAAATGCTGACATCGGCGAACGCAGGAGGCCATGGCCGCCACCGCCACTGCCTCCGAGGCCGGGCGCAGAAGAGCCGCCGCTGTGAGCGGCGCAGTCCCGGCCCCCGCCGCCGCCCGAGGAGAACGGGAGGGCGGGCGAGAGAGCCGGGGAGTTGCGGAGCCCGCCCGCCGCCGGCAGCACCGCTCCCCAGGGAGGGAGTCCACAGCCTGAGGTTATATCTTAAGTGTGGTGCTGCTAACATTGCCCAGGCAACATCTGGTTCAGCTTTATCTATATTTTTTGACTGCTCTGCTTTTCTATACTGGACATCAAATTTCCAGGGACTACGTTCGGAGCGAACTGCAGTTTGCCTGTGAGGGACCAATGTATTTAGAACCTCTCTCTATGAATCGGTTTACCACAGCCTTAATAGGTCAGTTGGTGGTGTGTACTTTATGCTCCTGTGTCATGAAAACAAAGCAGATTTGGCTGTTTTCAGCTCACGTGCTTCCTCTGCTAGCACGACTCTGCCTTGTTCCTTTGGAGACAATTGTTATCATCAATAAATTTGCTATGATTTTTACTGGATTGGAAGTTCTCTATTTTCTTGGGTCTAATCTTTTGCTACCTTATAACCTTGCTAAATCTGCATACAGAGAATTGGTTCAGGTAGTGGAGGTATATGGCCTTCTCACCTTGGGAATGTCCTTGTGGAATCAACTGGTAGTCCCTGTTCTTTTCATGGTTTTCTGGCTCATCTTATTTGCTCTTCAGATTTACTCCTATTTCAGTACTCGAGATCAGCCGGCATCACGTGAGAGGCTTCTTTTCCTTTTTCTGACAAGTATTGCAGAATGCTGCAGCACTCCTTACTCTCTTTTGGGTTTGGTCTTCACGGTTTCTTTTGTTGCCTTGGGTGTTCTCACACTCTGCGAGTTTTACTTGCAGGGTTATCGAGCTTTCAGGAATGATCCTGCCATGAATTGGGGCATGACAGGAGGAGTAACGCTGTTAATCCTGGCAGTGCAGACTGGGCTGATAGAACTGCAGGTTGTTCATCGGGCATTCCTGCTCAGTATTATCCTTTTCATTGTTGCAGCTTCTATCCTACAGTCTATGTTAGAAATTGCAGATCCTATTTTTTTGGCACTGGGAGCATCCAGAGACAAGAGCTTGTGGAAACACTTCCGTGCTGTGCGACTTTGTTTATTTTTATTGGTATTCCCTGCTCATATGGCTTATATGATTTGCCAGTTTTTCCACCTGGATTTTTGGCTTCTTATCATTATTTCCAGCAGCATTCTTACCTCTCTTCAGGTTCTGGGAACACTTTTTATTTATGTCTGATTTACGGTTGAGGAATTCAGAAAAGAGCCGGTGGAAAACATGGATGATGTCATCTACTATGTGAATGGCACTTACCACCTGCTGGAGTTTCTTGCGGCCGTCTGTATGGTGGCCTATTGCGTCTCAGAGACCATCTTTGGAGAATGGACAGTGATGGGCTCAATGATCATCCATTCATTCCTACTATAACGTGTGGCTTCAGGCCCAGCTGGGGTGGAAGAGCTTTCTTCTCCACAGGGATGCTGTGAATAAGATTAAATCGTTACCCATTGCTACGAAAGAGCAGCTTGAGAAACACAATGATATTTGTGCCATCTGTTATCAGGTAACTCCTTCGATAAGAATCTGTTTGGGACATGAAATCTGCTGTGATCACGCCTTGCGTTCATTTTTTCCATGCAGGCTGTCTTAAGAAATGGCTGTATGTCCAGGAGACCTGCCCTCTGTGCCACTACCACCTGAAAAACTCCTCCCAGCTTCCAGGATTAGGAACTGAGCCAGTTCTACAGCCTCATGCTGGAGCTGAGCAAAACATCATGTTTCAGGAAGGAACTGAACCCCCAGGCCAAGAGCATACTCCAGGGACCAGGATACAGGAAGGTTCTAGGGACAATAATGAGCGCATCGCCAGACAACCAGATAGCCAGGAAGGGGCTTTTGACCCCAAAGAATATCTTCACAGTGCAAAAGATGAAGCACATCCTGTTGAATCAGCCTAGAGGAGAAGCAGCAGGAATGATGCTTTCATACTCTGGAGGAGAAGTTAACTCAAGATGGAATTCATGTTCTGATTTGAGGAATGAAAATGAGATGATCAGGCAGGAAACTGACATTCCAAGGATCTAATCCAGGAAGTACTCTCAGTGGGGACCACCTGCTTTCATCCCCTGACATTGTGGGAGAAAGACAAATAGGAAGCTCTTCTATTAGGGCAATGTAGAGCTTGTGCTTTACTTATGTGACAGATATAGATATTTTGAATATTTTAAAATTAGGTATGATATTCTACCAAACACTATATATAGTGTTTATATATATATAACAAAATAAACACTATATATATATTATATATAATAAAATAAACACTATATATACCAAACACTATATATAGTGTTTATATATATAACAAAATAAACACTATATATATTATATATAATAAACACTATATATATACCAAACACTATATATAGTGTTTATATATATATAAAACAAAATAACACTATATAATTCTATTGGTATAATTAATATATATGTAAGACAAAATAAACACTATATATAGAGTATATATATATATATGTAACAAAATTTTGTGATACCTTGAAATTTAAGGTTGAATATTTGTATACATTCCAAGATAAATCTTGGTGAACATCATAAAATTAATTCTAATATTTTTTGTGCAAGATGATCACTTTCAAACTAGGTTTAACAACAGAGACCAGATGTATCTTTCCACCAGAAATACTTGTAAAACATAGTGAAATTTCTTAAATTCAATTTTATGATGTGTGACAACAGGTAACAAGGACAGTAATTGCTGAGAGGTGGGAAATAAACAAAAGGAGTCCTCTGATGAATGCACGCTCAGATGCTTCCTTAAGGGAGTTTCCAGGCACAGTGCTGAAGTGGAACCAGGTAGAACTGAAGTTGAGGAAAAAGAGCTGAGACTGACCATGGACTTGTCCTGGCCAATTTCCGGAGGCTGTGCACTGTGTGTCTTTCTGCCCCTGCACAAAGCCGTTTTCGTGTACAGAGCCAGATTGTAATTCATCTAGTTCTCATGTCCTCACCCAAAAGCAAATATGAAATGCATGTAACGTTTGTGTTTGCTTATTACACATGAGAGCCTGCCTGTCATGTGACTATCAATAGGTCCTTCTATAGCCTGCTGAGTGTGTACGCTTGGCCAATCCATTCGCATGAATTCATTTCTTGTCTTTCCCTCTCTTGAAGTGCCTGCTCACAGTCTCTGTGGGAGGCTTTGCTTTCCAGCCTGTTAAGATGGCCGTCCTGCAGCTCCAACCCTTTTTCAGAAATAAAATCTCCTTTCTAAATTGATAGATTGGGTGATTCTTCCATTGAAAGCACAAGCTGGTGCGAAGAGTTACATGGTAATTCCATAAATGCCTGGAGGAGAAGCAGGGAAAGGGTAGGGTAAGAACTGGGGGCCACACACCTCACACTTTTATGGAATTTCCCTCCAAAAGCTTCTGGGTTCTCAAGACGAGAATTCAAACAGATGCCCTCATGGCTCTGTCATCCGGAGAACTATTTTCTGATAAATATGCCCAGAACTTTCTCCAGACAGACCCTACAAAGAAAAAATACTTTTCAAGATCTTTATTCTATGTGAGAGGAAGGGATTCTTTTCCATCCCAGACAGCTTCATCTTAGCCTTCCCGTGTCATGAAAAGGGGTATAATTAATAAACAACTGGGGTCAGATTCAAGACAATAATCTGTGTATGCTGCAGCCAGGAGGTGGAGTAGAGGACGGAGGAAAATCAGCTGTATGACTGGAGACTCCTTGTAAAGGGTACAGCCTAAAGAAAGCACAGCAAGAAATCATTGAACATATACTGCTCCCCTGCCCACCATATCACCTGCTCACTAGGATTAAGATGGATTAAAGAGAAAAGTTTTGCAAGGCACATGCTCTGTCTAAG
Organism: Homo sapiens; assembly: GCF_000001405.40. Classification (NCBI taxonomy): domain Eukaryota; kingdom Metazoa; phylum Chordata; class Mammalia; order Primates; family Hominidae; genus Homo; species Homo sapiens. The sequence continues at coordinate 20,624,872 of NC_000015.10, read as the reverse complement.
GACTAGAACTTAGGGAAACCAAAGGCACTGGGAGAGAACAAGTCAAGTACAGTGAAGTGATTTAAAGCCTCTGAAAGCAACAGCTTCAGGACCAAGATCACGGCCCCTCCCTCAATGACCTTAGATTTTCCTCTCGTGGGGCGTCTGCAGGGCTCTCAGGTGAGAATTGGCAAAGACAATGTGAAGGCACTTTCCAAATCTCCAATAGTACTGAGCTTGCTTTAGCTCTGCTTGGAAAAAACAAACAACAAAACAACAAACATAAGCAGGACTAGGGTCAGAGTCGGAAGCACTTTTCATTGGCAAGACACTAGGAAGGAGGGCAAATTTGAGGTTTGTTACTGTGCAAATATTCCACTGTGAGTGTGGGGGCAGGGGCTTTGAGAAACAGGGTCTGTGCATAAAGTTCTAATCTGATATAATCTTCAACCACAGAATCCTAAAAAAAAGAGGCTGCCCCAAAGTCCCCATCAGTTCCTGCACTTGCCATGTGTCTGGAGGTATCAGTGCATATGGAGCTCCAGGGGAGGGGCCCCCTGGTGGCTTTAGTGATTCCTTGCTTGCTGCGCTGAAGTATCCCAATAGATTGCTGGGTTTTCTAAGGCCTATTCCTATTGTAAGAGGTGGTGTGAGGAGCAATTGCTGTCACTGAGGGAACATTCTGAGCCAGGACACGTCCACTTCATACTGGGCTTGAGATGCTTAGAGAAAAATGCTCTGTGAGCCAGCTGGGATTACAAGTGTGTGGTGTCACACCCGGCTCACTTTGTATTTTTAGTAGAGATGGGGTTTCACCATGCTGGCCAGGCTGGTTTCGAACTCCTGACCTCAGGTGATCCACCCGCCTCTGCATCCCAATGCGCTGGGATTACAGGCGTGAGCCATCAGGCCTGGCCTGGAATAGTTAATATTTGCTATGTAAACCTCCACGTGATGCAAATATAAAACAAATGCCCACGTGCAATGTCTGTCCCATAATCATTCTGTGAACACATGAATAGCACTGAGTATGCACAGGGCTTGATTCATTCTTGACCTGGGTCTGGTTTCCTTTAAGGTAACCTTGAGTCAATGAGCCATTAGTAGAGGGTGGTATTCTACAGCCGAGTAGGCAGAAAAATAGACTGATCTTCTTTTGAGTTACAAATAAATACACTTTGAAATAGTAGAAATTCTTATAAATGAGCCGTAATCATATGAAAAAATGATGTGGTAGAACTTCTTTGGTGTCTGTGGCTGTTAAAGACAACGTGATTTTTACTAAAAACCAAGATAATTTTAAAAAATCTGTGAGGGATGAATATTCTTCGCCATTCACCAAGTTTGTAATCGGACGTCTTCCATAAGCTGCCCTTGAAAAAGTCACCAGTACAATTTTGTCTTTGTCAAAGTTGATTGCAGTAGCATGCTATTTGCTTATTCATATCTAGAGTCAAAATAAAGTAGCAATTCCCAAAGTGCAACAGAAGCTCTTCTAATTTCAACATGAAAATTACTGAAGTATTTGTTTAAACTGATGTCTTCTATTGTTTTCCTTTTCCATCTTCAAAGAAGACCCAGGGCTGAAGCCAGCAGCCCTGCCTGTGCCCTGCCTGCACCCTGCCCTTCCTCATGCCCAAGGCTGACAATGCCTTTGTTTCCCAGCATCTATGTTATGTTGAGGTATTTCTATGCATATAATACCTTGTTCAGAAGCTTTTGAATTCTTTTCTATGAAAATTTCCTGGTTTTACCTTAATAATAAAAATAGTAACATGAACACCTCAAGTCTGTTGTAAGCCTCAATTAGGATAAGGTGGTCCTAGGGAAATGGAGGCTTTAGAGAAATGTGCGTATGGGTAATGTAGTCACCATCTGGGACAGTGCTTCTCAAAGTGAGGTCCTTGCATCGACAGCATCTACATCATCTAGAAATAGGTTAGACACAGAAACCAGGAACTCCGGGGGAAGGCTCAGGTGTAGGCAGCTTCACAAGCTCCTTCGGGGATTCTTTGCAGGCTCTAGTTTAAGAACCATTGATCTAAGAAAATGGAGACTGGTTTTGGTGTAATATCAGCCTTACTAGTAATTTAAGCCTTATTTGGGGCAGTGGCTCTCAACTGTGAGCAATTTTGCCCAGTAAGGGTCATGGGCAAGGACTGGAGATGAATTTGTTTGCCACAGTTGGGCAGGTGGGCAGAGGCTCCCCAAACCGAGGAGTCAAAGAATTCTCCAGCCCAAACTGTCAATAATGAGAGGGCTAAGAAACCCTGATCTAGAATAATGTGGGTGTAGGATAATTTAAGCCCCATCAGGTCCTAGGTAGGGTAAATGAGGCCGTAGTTAAGGTAACATAGGCCTCATCTAGTTTGACGTAGATTTCTTCACAGTAACTTGTGCCTTACTGTGTAGGTACTGGGTCTTCCTTCAAAGCTTATCTAGGAAGACCCCTCTTTAGGGAAATTCACAAGGTGAGAGGTTCCTGTCTAGTCTCGGTGCCCTCTGTGAGGCCTCCTCTGCTTCTGGAAGCCTGGCTGCTCCAATCTCTTTCTAGGTGGCTGGGGCAGCCGCTCGACATTCACGCCACCTTGTGGCCACCGGTGCCACAGCGGGTACATCGCCTTCTTTGGGTCCCCTCATCATAATTGTTTATCAATAATGATTGATAAGAGTAACACCCGACCCTTGTAGGATCCATGTGTTTCTTGGCAAGTGTTTTATAGAGAGTGGTTATTTATGAAAGGAAGTCACCGGTAGAATGATTTTGAGACTTTTATAAGTAAATGACCTGCCGTTGCTCCCTTTTTTAAAAATGTATAAATAGAATGATAATAAAACTCATTGCATTATATTTCCACCAGGAATGTGTGATAGTTTCCATTAAATATATGACATCCTTGCTTCTCTCATACAGAAATGTATGCTTGCCAATATTTGGTATTTTTCTGGGTGGTTATTTGGGTAATTTTGGCTATGTTAATGGGTATGTAGTAGTATCTCATTATGATTTTAATTTGCATTTCCAGAGAACTAATTATGCTGAGAATCTTTCATGTGCTTATTGGCCTTTTTTTATCTTCTTTTGTGAAATGTCTGTTCAAAAAGACTATTTTATCTAGTTTTTTACAACTAAAATTGTGTGTATAATTATAGATTCATTTCACATGCAGTTGTAAGAAATTTCCCTTTGTATAAACTTTGGACCCCTATCTCTCTCTACCTCCTTGTAAGGCCAATAACTCTTGGATTTGCCACTTGAAGGGTATTTTCTAGATCTTCTAGGCCTGCTTCATTCTATTTCATTTTTTTCCTTTTGTCTCCTTTGACTAGGAGGTATTTTCAATTAGCCTGTCTTCAAGGTCACTAAATCTTTTTTTTTTTTTTCTAAAGACAAAGTCTTGCTCTGTCACCCAGGCTAGAGAACAGTGGCCCAATCTCAGCTCACTGCAACGTCCGCCATCTGGGTTCAAGTGATTCTCGTGTTTCAGCCTCCCTAGTACCTGGGATTACAGGTGCCCATCACCATACCTGGCTAATTTTTGTATTTGTAGTAGAGATGAGGTTTCACCATGTTGGCCAGGGAAGTCTTGAACTCCTGACCTCAGGTGATCTGCTAGCCTCAGCCTCCCAAAATGCTGGTATTACATGCGTGAGTCACCAGGCCTGGCCCCAAGCTCACTAATTCCTTCTTCTTCATGATCAATTCTGCTATTAAGAGATTCAGATGCATTCTTTAGTATGTCAGTTGCATTTTTTAACTCCAGAATTTCTGCTTGATTTTTAAAAATTATTTCAATCTCTTTGTTAAATGTGTTTGCTAGGATCCTAAATTGCTTCCCTGTGTTATATTGAATTTCATTGAGTTTCCTCAAAACAGCTATTTTGAATTCTCTGAAAGATCACATACCTCTGTCTTTCTGGAATTGGCTCCTGGTGACTTATTTATTTGACGAGGCCATATTTTCCTGGAGAGTCTTGATGCTTGTGGATGTTTGGTAGTGTCTGGGCATTGAAGAGTTAGGCAGTGTCATCTTTGCAGTTGGGCTTGTTTGTACCCATCCTTTCTGGGAAAGCTTTCCAGGTATTCCAAGGGACTTGGGTGTTGCAGTCTAAGCCATATCTGTATTAGGGGGCACCCCAAACCCAGTAACACTGTGATTCTTGCAGACTCAGAGAAGTACTGCCTTGATGGTCTTGGATAAGGGCCAGAAGAATTCTCTGGATTTATATTTTGCAATTTAAACTTATCACCATTTAATTTCATATAATATGATACCCATTCACGTATATTGTAAAAACCTTGCAACAATATATTTCTATCTCCTCCTCCCATCTTTTGTGCTACTGTCATTCTTAGGAAAAACCCGAACTGTTTCTCCTCTGTGTCCACACCAACACAACAGCAATCTACACAGCAGACTTCTGAGACCCTGAGTATGTGGGGGCTTTCTCCTCACCAGCAAGCAGGCAGTCACCTCTGCAGTGGGCACCAGCTGGACGTCCTCCAGTTCAATTCCAACTCTATCTACCCAGAGCTGGCATCAGATCCCACAAAGAGAGGGCCCGTTCTGCAAGGCTGCCACTTCCCCACCCCCAGACACCAGTCATAAGTCCGGGCTTCTGGAATTTCTAATCAACTGGCTTCAAGCTGGGCTTCCCACAATCCCCTCTATGGGTTTGATTAATTTGCTGGAGTGGCTCACAGAACTCAGGGAAATGCTTATGTTGTTTACCAGTTTATTATGAAGGACATTTTAAAGGATACGGATGGACAGCCATATGAAGAGATACACACAGGATGAGGTCTGGAAGATTTTGAAGGGTCCCAGGTGCAGGAGCTTGTGTCCATGTGGATTCAGGGAGCACCACCCTCTCAGCACGTGAATGAGTTCTTCACCTTTTAGTCACCCTTCATGTGTTCAGCTCTCCAGAAGCTTCCAAACCCTGTCCTCTTGGGTCTTTATATGGGGAATTTGTTGGATAGGCCTGATTGAAGCATGGGTGACTGTGGAAATGTGATTGGACAAAATGGGTTCTAAACCCAGCAAGGCCTGTGTGTTCAGATTCTTCTTGGCCTCTCTGTGTAGCCTTCCTTCCTCCAGGTTATGAGACAAAACCCTCTTTGGAATGAGGGTCTCATGACCCACAGAATCCAGCCATGGGCAGGGGAAAGAAGGGCAGGAGAAGGTGTGAGAGAGAGATTCTGTTTACTGTCACAAGGGCTATGAGAGTTATGAACAAGGAACTGTGGATGAAAACATATATGTATATGTTTCAATGACATGCCACAGCCATACTTTCATACAGTTTGTTTCTACATACGTCCTAAACACCATCATGCTTTGTTATTTTTGCTTAAACTGTAAATTATTTCATAAAAAATTATGAAAAGCAAGATAAAAGTATTTTATATTTACCTGTATGTTTACCTTTTCCAGGATTAATTCTTTAGTGTTTGGTAACGTGTTTTCCTTGTCTAGTGATTTACATCGATTTTTGAAGGGATAAGACCAGTTGCCTGGGTAAAAATTTCACTTTCTGGATTTGCTTAATAATTTTGATATTCTTATTCCTCTATTGACTATTCTAGAGCTGGGAGAATACATCAGACATCTGTTGTACATAGAGTCATCATGAAATAGTAATTTATGTGCAAATGCCAGCTTTTCAAAAGTTGATGCCAATTTGTGTAAGTTTATGGTAGAATTTGCTAATCTATTTGTTTCAGAAAGATTTGGGAAATCAGATAGTGATCTCATTAAATCTTAGTATAGCATGACATATATTAGACCCTAAATAAATGCCGCTAAGATCAGTTTTATGATGAGAAGAAACGACGGCTTGGTTGGGCTCCATAAGGAATTTTGATTTTGTTCCCCATCATTGACATTCCCACCTGTAGAATAAGTGCTTAGCTTTCACACCTGTTTCCTTTTAGCATTCTAAATCAGAACCTCAGAAGCAAAATTAGGCTCCAGTTTTGGTTTAGACTTTATCTTAGTAAACACAAAATATTGGTGTCAACATCACCATAAAGGAACATGTTTTAATTGCCATTAACATGAGAGAATAAGATGAATTCAGTTCCTTCTTTGAACAAACTTTCCCCAGGTGTGTGCCTTGCTAGGATCTACCCCAGACAAGGAGGGCACAAAGAAGCCATGATCTCTGCCATTTCTCCTGGACACTCATAGGCCAGTGCAAAGAAAGACACTTGCAAGCAAAAGACTCCAGTATAGTGAGATGAGCTTGATTTTAGAGGTATTACAAAGAATGCTGGCTTCACCAGGAAAATAAGGATTAGCTCTGGCTGTGCCTGAGCAAGGAGGTCACCAGAGAAGAAGAGATGACTGGGTTGACTTTTGAAGCTTTGAAGATGACTGGGTTGAAGTTTCGAAGAGATGACTGGGTAGGAGTTCAGTATGAAGGGAAGGTTATTCCAGGTAAAAGGACCAGCATTTGTAAAAGCAAAGAGCAACTGCTTTCAACTGGGGATGATTTTTCAGGGCACATTTGGTAATGTCCAAAGGTGTTTTGTTATCAAAACTGGGGGGTGGGTATGCTATTGGCACGTGGTGGGTAGAGGCCAGGTTTGCTGCTAACATCCTACAGCACACAGGCCAGGCCCCTACAACACAGCTCTCCAGCCCCGAGCATAAATAATACGGAGATTGAGAGACCCCGATGGGAGGCATGAAGCAGTGTGGCTTGTTCTGAAAACTGTGTTTTGTGTGGTTGGAGTGAAGTGTGCGGTGGATTGGTGAGGAAGGAGAATCCAAGGAAAACTGGAGGACCTGAGACCCAACAAATGGACTGGATGCTGAAGCTGCTGCTCCATGGCTCGAATCTCACCCCGAAGGAGACAGGAGCCACAGCAGTCCTTTTGGAGAACCAATATCAGCAGCACTCACATACGGAAAGATTACCCTGGCAGTAATGCCCAGATGGATGGCAGAGCAGGGAGGCGGCTGCAGTAATTCAGGGCAGAAATGGGGAGGGCTTTAAAGAAGAACAGTGAGACTTAGTGATCCTCTGACTGCAAGGAAGATGAAGGCACAGATGGCCGCTGAGTTCCTCGCGTGATGGCTGGGTGACTGTCCTCACTCACTGAGGCCAGAAACACAGCACAGAGGAGCAGGCTTCTGGAGAAAGGTGCTGAGCTTGAAAGGTGAAAGACATCTTGAGAATGAATAATATATCTAAGATAGCCCATGTGTGGACAACAGGGCCAGGAGGAAAATTCAGGGCTCTGCTGTTCTCTCTGTCGCAGTAAATGACCAGAAACTTCATAACAAAAGATTCACTGGGAAAACCCAGAGGAAGTTAGAGCCAAGCAAAATGCAGCTTGCTTTCGGCTTCCTCATCCCCTTTTCAGAGACTTGCCTGGTGCTCCCAAGTCTCAACAGCGCTAGTGGGAATGCAGCCAAACAATAAGGCTATTTTTTCTATACCATGTTGTTTCATTCTTTGGCTACTGTAATCTATATTATCAATTCTCTGAATTTTTTCCGTGCAAAGGAGAAATAAGTTGTTAATAAGTCAATGGACAACAAAGTTGACATTAACTCTCTGCAAAACTACAAATGTGAGTCCACATACTCATGAGCGTTGTGGGTGGACAGGCTGTGCTGCCTCTACGGGGCCCTCCTGCTTCGGCTCAAGGGCCAAGGAAGAGTACACCCCAGGGAAGACTTCACCTGGCCCAGGGTCCAGGGTTTCAGGCATGTGGATGCGATGTAGGAGCGGTAAGACCATTCAGGTCTCACTCAACTCCACTTCTCCTTCCTCCCTGCTCTGTGACACCTTCCTGTCCTCCTCACTCCTTCCAGAACAACAGAAAATGAGAAGGTTTCAGGTGATCTGTTTAGGAACCAACCACCTTGCTTTACAATGGCTTCTGTAGGGGGGTTCAAGGTCTGTGTGTCTAAATGTAGTCCAATGGTCCAATTAACCAGAGAAAACATAGAACTGATCAATTGCAAGGCAAAGTTGGCATGTAGACATACACAGTTACTCTTGGTACAAAGCTATTTCTGAGCATAATGATAGCCAAGGCCATGAGGGATACTATGTGTTTAAATATGTGCATTGATAAGAAGCATAAACCTAACTGATTCCTCGTGAGAGAAAAAGAAAAGTGAAATCTGAAAAATGTCTTTGTGTAAGTCATGTAGCAACCACCTTGCAGTGACAACCCTGAGCTCACACAGGCTGCTGTCCCTGCTGGCTCTTCAATGGAAGAGGAAGGCAGTGTGGCAAGCCAGAGCTCAGTACTGGCTTCCAGAAGTGGAGGTCGATGTCTTTATGATGTTCTTGCCTCTGGCGGGGATAAAGTCTGGAATACCTGGAGGGAGAATGGATGTCCATTAAGATAGTAATGCTTGTGATCTGCAAGTCTCTTGACAGCTTACGATCCTGCTCTCTGCAAAATGTTTCCACGCTTATCATTCATGTTCCAAATCCCTGTTTGGTGGTGCATTTTCTCTCGTGGAAATTCCATTATCACAAATGGAAACCATTTGCCTATGGCTTCCACCCACCAGTGACTTGACTACAGACAAATACGTTACCCATGTTTTTATTTATTTCTGTGTTCTTGGTGCTCTGGCATCTGGGGCCTCTCTGGCTGGGGAAAGACTGCTCCTCCCAGGGCCAGCTAATTCTTAGAGGTGATAAACACGCCTTTCACAAGCAAATTAACTGCTCCTATAGGCTCCCCCCTCCACTACCTTCTTTATGTGGCTCTTGTCCTGCAGGAATATTGATTCCCTCACCTGGTCACCCCAGGGCCAGGCACCGGACGGCTTGGGGTGGCTCCCACATCACACCCATCCCCCTGCTCCCTGGGGACAATGTCACCCTAACCCACCCTCCCGCCCTCTCAGCTCCTGCCACATCCAGTTGGGCATTGGGTCTTTCTAGTTTTGCTGTTTTTAGGTCAAAACTATCAGTTTTTTATATCCTTTTTTTTTTTTTTTTCTGAGACGGAGTCTTACTCTGTCACCCAGGCTGGAGTGCAGTGGCATGATCTTGGCTCACTGCAACCTCTGCCATCCAAATTCAAGCAATTCTCCCGCCTCAGCCTCCCGAGTAGCTGGGATTACAGGCACCTGCACTGAGTCCGGCTAATTTTTTGTATTTTTAGTAGAGACGGGGTTTCATCATCTCAGCCAGGCTGGTCTGGAACTGCTGACCTCGTGATCCACCCGCCTTGGCCTCCCAAAGTGCTGGGATTATAGGCATGAGCCACCGCACCCGGCCAGTTTTTTATATTCTTAAATATATTTCAAAGTTTTGTTTTCTCTCCTGAACCAGGTCACCTGTCTCTTGCCCTGCTCAGCACATCTTTCGTCTGAACTCAGATAATGCCTCCTCCCTCTGGAAAGTCTGTCACCCCCTCCTTATACCGAAGTGAGTAGCTTCTCAGTACCAAATAGAGGACTTTGGGGACATGACTTCTTCCCATGTCTCCTTTTGAAACTCCTAGTGTTCTTCTATCCAACAAAGATTTCCTTATATCGACATAGTCCTCACTTCGCATAGTAGTCTGTGACTATAAGAACGACCATGCAAGCCAAAACTATAAAGTGATCTTAATAATCAGTGGAGAAAATCATGAGTGTTCTGCAACCTTTGAATTTTTTTATCCACACGTTAACATGTCTCTTACCATTGCATATTGTCTTCATATGAACACATGAAAACGAAACTCAGGAAAACTGATATTTATTTCATATATTGTAATTTAAAATCTTTAGACACACCGATAGTTCAAGCTTATTTCTTTATAAAAATGTATTAAAAGCCAGGCTTGGTGGCCCCTAGCCTGGCTTGGTGCACCTCCTGACCAGTGCAATGTCAGCACCCACAGAGGCAGCACCACAGTGCCCTTTCCTGGAGGTCTGAATGGTACTTCCGAGGCTGTCACTCTTCCTTTCTTTCCTGCACTTTCCTCTTTGTTGGCCAATCCACTCTTCCAGTTTTTATCTTTGTAACATTCCGAGTGGTTTTATTACTAGGAATCTAAGAAGCAAGATGACTACACGTGGTGTTGTCTGTACAGGAACCGAGCTGTGCATGCGGAGGGAAGGGCCCTGCAGATTCTGAAGGGAGTGGTGTGGTTGGTCACCGATCGCCACGTGCTCCTGGTGTTCATGTAGAGGCTGGTGGGCAGAGGTGCTAGGAGCGACGTGTGCACTTTGAAGGCACAGTGATAACTGGAGTTTGAACTGTTATGTAAATAAACTGTGAGCATTCAGTGCAGTGAAATCTCTCTAAGAATCCCCTTCATGTCCAACCAACAGCCCCCGGGCTGCATGCAGCCCAGGACAGCTTTGAATGAGGCCCAACAAACATTTGTAAACTTTCTTAAAACATTATGAGGTATTTTTTGTCATTTTTTTTCTTTAGCTCATCAGCTTTTGTTAGTGTTAATGTATTTTATGTGCAGTCCAAGACAGTTCTTCTTCCAGTGTGGCCCAGGAAAGCCAAAAGATTGGACACTCCTGATAAAGTGTTTTGCTGGCATCACTGGGCGCTGTGAGAATCGGAGCCTGCAGAGTGAGGACTGCCCAGGGGTGTGGCATCTGCACAGTTACAGCTGAAAATGCCGTTTCCCACAGTGGGGTTTACTGTCCACTGGGGAAAGTGATGAGAAAAGTTCACCATGTAACTTTATTCTCAGGTGCGACTAAATCCCGGACACATCCTGCTGTTCTGACACAGCTTCACCTCATGCTCTCACTGGGGCTGCATGGACCTTGAACCCTGCCCCATCAGCTTCTCCATTCCTCCTGGTTTGTCATGAGTCAAGTCTGATGGCCTCATCCACAAAACCGATCCTCTTCTCTTTCCACTTGTCCTTCCTCATCTCAGTCCTCAGAGCCCGTGCTGCCCCTGCCTCTGCACTTCGCAGATTAGTGAAAACTGCCATTTCTGGATCTTTCCAGTTAGACATAAAGTTCCACAAGGTCCAGAACTGCCGTAGAATCCTCATTTATAGACTCTGACTTTGCCATCTTTCCCTTAATACTATAGATGGCACCAGCATTGACCCAGCTACTCATTCAGGGAAGCCACTCAAGAAATGGATGACAAATTCCGTTGCGGCTTCTGCCATGGGACTAGTCCCCGATTCCTTTCCCCATTGCTGTTGCTTTAGTGAAGGCGGTCATCTCTTTTTCAGGTCTCTGGTTCTGGCTTCCCCTTCAGCCACCGTCCACTCTTCTGAAGCATTGCTTCTTTGACATAAGTCTGATACAGCACATTCAGGCCTTACATGGATCACTTTACAGACTCCCCAGTAGCCACAGCAGGATCTTCAAGGAGGGTGTGTACAGCCCAGGGAATGCCCAAGATGATCTTTTAAAGTGTGGAAAGGAAATTGTGAAAACTCTAATTACACTGATTTTCACCTAAATAAGAATTTTTTAAAACAATACTAGTGTTAGCTTAGTACATGATAGTATATGTATCTAATGCACGCTCATGTACAAATGAGTTACGATGTTCAAAATATGTTTACTGCTTGAGTTACCCCAAAAGCGTAAGGCAAAACTAGAACTAAAATAGGCATACCTTACAGTAACTTGTTTAGATTTGCAACAATAAACATAGTAGGAATCACATCCCAAATGTGTTTTCCATGTCCCTGTTTCCGTACCCCCAAAGTGCTGAGAAATGCACAATTACAGGTATCAGTGTCATTCAAGGACGTGGCTGGGGGTCCGCCAGGAGGATTGGCAGCGCTTGGGCCCTGTTCAGAGGACCCTGTACCGCGATGTGATGCTGGACAACTGGAGACACCTCATCTCGGCACGAGCGGACTTGACGGCATGCATTTTCTTTTTTTTCGAGACACAGTCTCACTCTGTCACCCAGGCTGGAGTGCAGTGGTGTGATCTCAGCTCACTGCAATCTCTGCCCCCCAGATTGAAGTGATTCTCATGCCTCAGCCTCCCGAATACCTGGGATAACAGGCATGCACCATCACACATGGCTAATTTTTTTGTGTTTTTAGTTGAGACGGGGTTTCTCCGTGTTGGCCAGGCTGGTCTCAAACTCCTGACCTCAGGTGACCCGTCCACCTCGGCCTCCCAAAGTGCTGGGATTACAGGCATGAGCTACCACACCCGGCTGCATTTCCTTTTTAATTGCAATGCATGTAGACCCTCTCCTGAGCTCAGGGCTGTTCAGTCCCGCGGATTCCCCCTGCATGGCCTGGGGTTCTCCTCCTCGGGGTATGAGTCTGTCTATGTGGCTAATAAGCCAGTGCTCATCTCCTCTGTCAAGTGTCGTGCGTGTGTGTGCAGCCATCCCCCTAGGCCTAGGGCAGAAACCCTGCTGACCCAGTGGGGTAAAGGGGAGGCACCTAAAACACTCTTCCCACAGTAGCCACAGTGAGTCTGAAAAACCTCACACCATGCGCTCTCCTGAAAGCCCTCCTGTGGCTGTTCCTCTCACACGGCAGAGACAACTCCCTCGCCCACATCCAGGGGGCTGCACACAGGCTGGCCCTGTTACCCCGACTTCAGCCCTCTCCGCTCACTTTCATTGACACTTGAGCCACAGGTCCTTCCTCCTGGGAAATAGCGGGCCACTCTGCTCTCCAGGCATTTATCCCTGCTGTCACCCCGGCCTGACATTCCCTTTCCACACACAGCCATGCTCTCCAGGCATTTATCCCTGCTGTCACCCCCGCCTGACATTCCCTTTCCACACACAGCCACGTCACCATCCTCACTCCCTTCAGAACCATATCCCAATGTCAGCCTTACATAGCTCTTGCCATCACTTTCTCGAGCCCCTAGCTGGCACTCCATGTCCCTCGTCCTGCCCTTCACCTGCTCCACTTTCCTCCATGGAACTCCCTGATGATGTGCCACGTGCTCTACTCATTCATTTTGCTTTTTTCCTCTGTCTGCCCAGCTGGAGAGAATTTTGTGCTCAGCAAAAATGTTTGTGGCTCGCAAAGGGTGTGGCCGTGTTCTAGCCTCCCTGCCCCACTGGGACCGCGTGTCTCCCTTTGCCCCTCCCCTGTCTGCTGTGGGTGCAGAAGGCTGTCCTTCATGTGTTGACTCAGTCTGCCCTGGGGCTGGGCCCAGAAAGCCCCAAGCCCAGAAGCCATTTTCACTGCCAGTGTGGACTTGGTGGATGAGCTCAGCTACCAGAACCCTGCTGGATCATCTCCAAGAGCCAATCATCTCAGGGACCCTGAAGTCGACTGTGGAACAGCTGCCAACACAGCTTTGAAATGCTCAGCAATATGAAGAGTGCTGACAGCCCCTGCCTGCTGAGGCACACGGGGCTATGGTATTTCACTTCTATTACAGTAACATGACTTTAGTTGAGGATGGGATGAAAGAATAAAGATGCAGCCTGGGCAATATAGTGAGCCCCCATTTCTACAAAGAATAAAAAATTTATCCAGGCAAGGTGCACCTGTAGTCCCAGCAACTCTGGAGACTGATGGAGGATGGCTTGAACTTGGGAGGTCAAGGATGTAGTGAGCTGTGATCATGCCACTGCACTCCAACCTGGGTGCCAGAGAAAGACTGTCTCAAAAAAAAAAAAAAGAGAAAGAGAGAATAAAAAAAGATTAATTCATCATCTTGGACATAAACAATACTTTCTTGAGTGTTACTCAGATGTGTTTTTACTTCCTGCCCTTCCAAGAAAAATACTGGTAATGGCTCTGCCTCTTTCAGCTTGGAGAAGACAGCCAGGCCAGTGAATATGGAACTGTTAGGCCTGAGCAGGCATAAAGGAAATCTCCATTGTGCAGTGTTTTCAGCATAGTTAGTTTGGGATGAGTAAAGGTGTGTGGGGTAATTGCCATGCTTTTTGGCAATCGGGCATGCAAATGGGAAGGTCACAAATCACCCAGTCATACCACTTTGGACAAAGAAATCGGGAGTGTGCATTTCTTTTTCTTCTTATTTTTGCTTTGTTAGAAGTGAGTGTTCACTTTATCTCTGAAGGCATGTGATTGTTATGAAGTCAGCAGTGATGATAGCTCTTTACCCCAAACTGCCAAGGCCAGGGATTACATCAATCATCTATATCCTGAACATGGTGCCTAGCATTCGGCTGGAGCTCAGCGAGTATTTGTTGAATGAATGAATCAATCCCATTTCACCTTCTTGCCAGCTCTGGTCTGGGTGGTCGGTACTTTCCTTTTTGAGTACTGCACGGACCCAGGTTTCTGGAGTCTGGACTCAATGGCTTATGTGGGAGCAGCCTCTTCCATTCTGCAGTGGGGATTACTATCCAGAGCCAGGTACAGGCCCCAGAGGAGGGTGCACTGGGGCCACAGGCCCAAGGCCATCCAGTTCCCTTTGCCCAGCTGGGGTCTTGTGGAAGAAGAAAGCCAGTGTCCTGAAATTATTCCTTCCTCACTGCCATCTATACTGGAAATAATCCCAAGGGATTTAGAATAAGCAAAATCAAATTCTGTCATTTCTAAATTTTCTAAGATGAACACGTATAGCTTTTATACACAGAAAAACCATATTAAAACACAAACACACGGCCGGGCGTGGTGGCTGATGCCTGTAATCCCAGCACTTTGGGAGGCCGAGGCGGGTGGATCAGGAGGTCAGGAGATCGAGACCATCCTGGCTAACACGGTAAAACCCCGTTTCTACTAAAAAATACAAAAAAGTTAGCCGGGTGTGGTGGCGGGCGCCTGTAGTCCCAGCTACTCGAGAGGCTGAGGCAGGAGAATGGCGTGAACCCAGGAGGCAGAGCTTGCAGTGAGCCGAGATGGCGCCACTGCACTCCAGCCTGGGCGACAGAGCGAGACTCCATCTCAAAACAAAAACAAAAACAAAAACAAAACACAAACACACATACAACTTCGCTGGGTCTTGAGAAAGCTTGTCACTGGGGAGGTTAATGGAAATTGTACACTTTTCTCTGTTAGCTAGTTAAAAGTCTTTAAAAATCCTGCCTCAATTTAACCTTGGGAAATGGAACTTTATAGGTGGTTCAGGAATGTGAAGATTCACACATCACAAAATATTTAAATGTATTTGACGTGTGATAAACATGTAAATATCATAGTGCTGTGACTTTGCTTATGAGTTATATATTTCTAATCATTTTAATGTTATCACGATTTTTTAAAAAGTTCTTTTATATGATAGTTATTATTTGGGGTTACTGTGTAAGAAAGCCATTTAGCCACCAGAGGGCGATGTGACACAGCAGAAAGTAGGTCTCCGTTCGGCTGAAACCTTTACTTTTCAAAACGGGAAATCACCAGCCTGGCCAACATGGTGAAACCTAAAAAAAATACAAACATTAGCCGGGCGCGGTGGCAGACGCCTGTAATCCCAGCTACTCAGGAGGCTGAGGCAAGAGAATCGCTTGAACTGGGGAGGCGAAGGTTGCAGTGAGCCGAGATTGTGCCACTGCACTCCAGCCTGGGCGACAGAGCGAGACTCCGTCTCAAAACAAACCAAAACAAAACCAAAACAAAACAAAATAAAACACAACAAAACGAGAACTCAAAATGGAATTCTAAGGAAGTGGTCACTTTTATATATGTCCATGTTAAAGTTCTAGAGCTGTTGATAAATATAAAAACAATAATGGTAAGTTATTCCAGTAGGAGATGTTCATTATTTTCTTTATTAATGCTTAATGTTTTTCAGTTCATATTTCAAATATATGTATTCTATATGAAATTTTCATAAAATGGAGAATGGCATGCTATCTAAAATGTAAAAAACACATATACATGTATATATACCCAGATATCTAGATTTTGCTGTTGCAATTATAGAAGAAAACAATGACCTCTGTGCCATTAAAAAAGCGTTTGATTTTTCCACATTTTTTTCTCTTTTCCTTAGGGACTCAGAGTTGCAATGAAGTGGTTTTTGAAGGTTCTGTCTTGTAATATTGTTCTGCTGTATAGAAACTCAAAAAGACTTTGTAACAATAGACCTTATTAGAATTAACTTACCTGTATTTTTACTTTATTTTTGCGGAAGACCAGAGTTTCATTATTATTCAAATCAGACTTCTTGAGCATTTGTTTTGTTTTGTTTTAAGATGGAGCCTCGCACTATTGCCTGGGCTGGAGTGCAATGGTGTGATCTCAGCTCACTGCAACTTCTGCCTCCAGGGTTCAAGCGATTCTCCTGCCTCAGCCTTCCAAGTAGCTGGGATTACAGGTGCCCGCCACCACGCTTAGCTGTTTTTTTGTATTTTTAGTAGAGACGGTGTTTCATTATGTTGGCCAGGCTGCTCTCCAAATCCTCACCTCGTGATCCGCCCGCCTCGGCCTCCCAAAGTGCTGGAATTACAGGCGTAAGCCACCGTGCTCAGCTTAAGTTTTTAGAGACAATTTGACGGGTAGGGGCTAGAGAAGTGGGGAGTGCTGATTGATCAAGTTGGAGATGGAATCATAGGGGGTCGAAGTGAGGTTTCCTTGCTATCTTCTGTTCCTGGGTAGGATCTCAGAACTGATTGAGCCAGATTACCAGTCTAGGCGGTGTCAGCTGATCCATCGAGTGCAGGGTCTGCAAATTCCTTCCCGAGGTTAGTTCGGCCTATGCCCAGGAATGAACAAGGACAGCTTAAAGGTTAGAAGCAAGATGGAGTCGGTTAGGTCTGATCTCTTTCACTGTCATTATTTTCTCAGTTATAATTTTTGCAAAGGCTGTTTCAATCCCTCCCTTAGGGTTTCATAGCACCTTATTCTTAAGGTGTGGGCTATGAAGATGGGAAAAGGCCGTCGATCACTCTGGATTCTTCCTGCAGACAGGGGGCATAGTGGGGTAGGTGTTGACCCCAAGGTGAGAGGAGTGGAACTGCTTTGCAGCTGTCTGAGCTGTTTGAGTGTACTCACGCAGGCCAGGCTGAGCTTCCAAGGCTTTCATGACAAAGGCATTCGTATTCTCATCTACAGTTTTAGTACGACATTTACACAAACAGTGTACAATAAGGTAAGTAATGAGTTCCGGAACAAGGAGTGCCATTCCCAGTTTTAAAAGTAAAGACTTAAAAGCATTAGTTTGAGCACTTGTAGCCTCCCAAAATTTAGGATTCAGTCTAAATGGCAGAAAAAAACATCCTCAAAAACAACTAACAACAGGTGTACTGTAGTTTTTGAAACAATTTTTTCTCTCTTCAGTTCTTATTTTTATTAAAAACAAATCCTGATAGGACCGATTTTGTTTGTGAAATAAACTTTAATTTTATTATACTTGGCATGATTATTTGCAAAGAGCACAGCAAGAATAATTATTTTTCACATGGGCCTTTTAAGTTGGCTTTGATGGAACTCTGCATAAAGAGTCTTAGATAGACTTTTTTTAAAGCCCATCCCAGCCATGGGTTTGTACCCTCAAATGCCTATGAGTTGGGTACATTCCCCTCTTCTTGAGATCCCAAGATAACTTAAGATTCCGGGGCCTTTTGGAAAGTGACATTCTTTACTTACCATACGTTAGGAACCCTGTACAGGGACTGCGTAGACAAGGTATGAGGCCAGTTTACCCTAGGGGTTTTTATTGGCTTTGTAAATCAAGTTTGATTCCTTAAACAAAAGCATGCCATCCCAGTCAAAACCTTAGTAAAATAAACAGTTTCTCCAATTGTGTCCTGTTGCAAAAGAAAACATTCTTATTGCACTTATGCAAATAATTATGTTGCCATAAATTAAGAATACTTGCAAATAGCTTCCAGATTCTTGAGAAATCAGGTAGAGAGAAACAAACATGCTCCAAATTTTGTTCACAGGAGTATATTTTTCTCAGTTGTTAAAAGCTGTAATCAAAAGAAAAGTTTTCTTGGCTCTCTGAAAAATGAAAAGGAACAGCCACATTTTAAGCAAAAAAAAAAAAAGGAAAAGATTAGTTCAGTTTTCTATTAGTTCATTCCATTCAGTAAACTCTTGTTCTGCTTAATGTTCCTGAACAAGTCAGCTCTCCATGAGAGTCCTGAACGTTTTTTCCTTTATTCTAATGTTGCAATCTCCAAAGCTATCAGAAACTTGCATTCAAGAGCACCCATCCAAGTTTCATAGCTGATTATAAAACAAGAAAATTTTTAACCTCTGTGGCACACAATAATTTAATGTATCAATTATAATTATTACTGATAACATATGCTAAGGCATATCAAACTTATAAGAATCTTATACAGTTTTGAAACACATGCTAATAACGTATTTATATGAATATAACCCAAAGAAAGTTAAACATCATTTTATATTTGGCCATGTTTTCTGCATGATTTTAATACATTAAATAAGCAGATTATATCTTTTTGGACTGTAGGGGACCTATTTTTGTTTAACTTCTAATTTGATCTTGTCAGGTTTGTCAAATATGGTTTAAAACACTGGATGTCACAAAATAGAATGCCAGGTCACCATAAGTCAGTTATTTAGCCAAAATGATAACTCACAAAGTTTTAAAAAGGAAAAAACCTTTAGTTTGATAGAAAAGAGACTCAGCTTCTCAAACTACAAGACCCAGTGAAGCCGTCCCCTGAATTGGTCACTTCTCTCTCCCCTCCCTTAAAAGGCAAACAAAATTTTTTCATTGCTTCTCAATATTACACAAGAATCTTTTTCAAAAGAGAAAACCAAATTTCATGTTTGCATTATTGCACCTTTAATGCTAAAGCTAGTTTTTATTAAAATTTTATAAATCTATCCAGTTTTAATTAGTTTGACCATAAGTTAATGTTCTTATAAACCTTTTATAACCCTTTACAATTTAGTTGTTGTTGTTACAGAGCAGAACCATGTTTTAAGAAAACTCTGTTATGCTTTTATTCCAATGTTCAACTTATGGAAACATTGACTAATACCCCTTTAACTTTAGCCAATATGTTTACACACAGAATCTCTTTTACAATTAATTTTTTATAAACTTTTCACAACTTGCTTAAACCTTTAGGCCGGGCGCGGTGGCTCACGCCTGTAATCCCAGCACTTTGGGAGGCCGAGGCGGGCGGATCACGAGGTCAGGAGATCGAGACCATCCCGGCTAAAATGGTGAAACCCCGTCTCTACTAAAAATACAAAAAATTAGCCAGGCGTAGTGGCGGGCGCCTGTAGTCCCAGCTACTTGGGAGGCTGAGGCAGGAGAATGGCGTGAACCTGGGAGGCGGAGCTTGCAGTGAGCCGAGATTGCGCCACTGCACTCCAGCCTGGGCGACAGAGCGAGACTCCATCTCAAAAAACAAAAAACAAACAAACAAAAAAAAAACCTTTAGACTTTTCCTGTCTCACTTAAAACAATAACCCTCTAAACTTGGGAAAGAAATCCATATTCCCAGGTCTTCTTATAATCTTTTACCAAAAGTACATTCTACTTTTCTTACATGCCTTGAATGTGGAAATGTTTCTTCAGTAGCCTCAATACATGTTACACTGTTAACTCTGTGCAACTTCTATTTTTGGTGAAAAACCTGGTTAGTAGGACATTTTAATTATGTACCAAGTGTGGAGCTTAGGACAGACAAAGGACAGAAGTGCAGATCAAGTCTGACTTTTTCCAGCATAGCTATGGGATGTGGCTATCTCCACATATGCCCAGCACTTACCTAGCAGTAACGCAGGTAAGTGTATAGTTAAGAGTCACAGTGGCGTTTGTGAAGCATTTAGGCAGCCTAATAACCTTTAAATTGTACAACGTTTCTTGCATAAATTCCCTTTCATGAATCCTTTCATGGCTTAGACCATCTATTACATGCTTGGACAATGGTCATTTCAACAACCAGTCATTTCACTTTAGGACAAAAATTTACCATACAAGATCCTTTCTTATACAAAATCTCTTTTCTTTTTAACCTTCTTTGAGCAGCTAGGGGGCTAATTTCACATGTCACCGGGCCTTATCTAGAAAGTAATGACTCCAAGCTAGGTAAATTGAACAATTTTTAAAAGTTAAAGAAGCAGTTTATGATCTTAAAGCATTTAGCAAACCTAACATCAGACCCAATTTAGACCAAATGTCTAAATTTTGAAGACATTTTATTTTACCAATTTTTTTTTTTAGACAAAATCTCACTCTGTCACCCGGGCTGAAGTGCAGTGGCGCAGTCTCAGCTCACTGCAAGCTCCGCCTCCAGGGTTCACGTCATTCTCCTGCCTCAGCCTCCCGAGTAGCTGGGAATACAGGTGCTCACCACCACGCCTGGCTAATTTTTTTGTATTTTTAGTAGATATGGGGTTTCACCGTGTTAGCCAGGATGGCCTTGATCTCCTGACCTCATGATCTGCCCAGCTCAGCCTCCCAAAGTGCTGGGATTACAGGTGTGAGCCACTGTGCCCAGCCTATTTTATCAATAATTTTTAATCTGTCTTTATTACCAAAAGATTACTAAAGTTAGGTGAACTAAAGGGCATTAGTTTTAATTTTACTGACAAAATATTTGACTTAAGTGCCTACTTTTCTTTAAACCAATTAATTAGAGCTTTTATGTAAACATCACACACAAAACATATATAAATACATAGACAGACAGAAGATCCAGTAGTTGTAAGATTTTTCATTTGCCAGTTCTTAAGTTTCCTAGTGGGATTACTAGATTCAGGCTGGAGCCCTTTGAAAAATAGGGCTGGGAAAGCATGCAATTTCTAGGGCCTAATAAGCAGGCACAGCTGGAAGGCAAAAACAGATCCCCCAAATTAAGGGTGCCATTTTATATGGGATCCTGGATTCCCCCCAAAAAGAGGGAAATACTACAGAAGAAGCTAGTGCAGTGCTTCTACCCTGCATTTTATTGCAAGACAATCCAAAGCCAATCAGCCCATTTTGTAATCAGCCCATCCCCCATGGGATTCTCATCTCTCAGTGGGGGATAGGGTTGTTTTCATACCTTCTAGGTGGTCAAGAGTGTGCTTCTCTGATCCAAGCATGCAAGGAGCCAAGTATTCCTCCTAATTGCCATTAGCAGTCCCTTATAGTGTATTTCCTATCTGGTTATTATAAACCATGGCTAAAAGCTCTCCCATAATGTGAAGCAATTTCTGATATACCCAAAAGTAAAAAAAAAAAACAAAAAAAGTCAGGTAACATAATGTAAAATTGAAAATTGAACCGAGACTTAGATTTTGAGGGAGATCTATCAACTTTCAGCTCCTGGGGTTTCATGAGGAAAATGGAGGTTTTTCCCAGAATGGGGTCTGTGATGCCTCCTCTGTTTTTCCCTATGAGTCCCAGGCTGTTAGAATTTATCTAGGTTCTCTCAGGTGTGCTTTAAGCATGGCAAGAAGAAAAAATGGAGAAAATCAATTCAGAAGAAAAGAACTTATTCCAGAAAGACATGAATCTAGAAGAGGAAAAGATAAAGGCCTTTTAAATAGATATAGTTTGAGTACTTTTATTTATTTATTTATTTAATTTTAAGATGTGGTCTATGTTTTCCAGGCTTGTCTCAAACTCCTGCTGAAGCAATCCTCCTGCTTTGGCCTCCTGAAGTACTGGGATTACAGGCATGAAAATAGATATCTAGGGTTACCCCACCCAACCCTGGATGTCTATTTTTAATTAAGCCACTTTTAACCATAGAGCTCTGCTGTTTAAAAAAAAAAAAAAAACTTTCAAAATCCCTTATTACCAGGCTCTAGTGAGGACACCCCACATTTCTGGCTTTTGAATTCTATACCAGGTAACCTCTCACATGAAATTAATAAGTTTTAACTAAGGTTATAACTTAACCATGAACTCATGATGTGTTTCAAAGAGATGGTAAGTAGTTTTTTTTAAACAAGAGTTAGAATTTCCCCAGGGTAGTTCACAGAAAGGAAAATTCAAGACAGGAAATCAGAAATTATCCATAGAAAGGGGGGAATCCCTCAAAAAATGGCAGTTACACAAATAACAAACAAGAAGGGAATCATTCCCAAAGCCAAGAATTGAACCTGGGGCAGCCACTGTCAAAAGACAAAAGCCTTGGTTATTGAGCTACATCATTCAGCAGGTTCTGTTGCTCTTCCCAGAAGGAGCCTAGAGGTGCCAATTTTGACCTTGCAAAAGCTTCTACCTGCTCAAGATAATTTTTAGTGCTATGACATGAATCCCCAAATTCCTGTCCGCTGAATGGCAGACACCAAGAGAAAGTATCCCCACATGGTCACAAGGTTAAGCTCTCAAGGGCATAAAACGAAAAGATGGAAACTTTATATGGCACTGGTCTTGGGGACCCCCAGCAAAGTTTGTAAATGACCAGCTGCCAGGCTGGCTTGAAAGGCAGGCTTATAGGGGTCCTAAGCCCACCTTCTCTCCTGTGATACCTCTCTCTCCATTAAAGAACAAAGCAGAAAGATAAATTCTTAGCACAAAGTGCTCCAGATTTGCTACAGCCTAAGACTAGTCTCACAAATCCTTTTTTCTATTTGTAGAAAAGAGAAAACAGAGGAGAGAAGACAAACAGTGATATTTACCATTTGCATTCACACGCACACACACAAACACACAGAGGGAGAGGGAGGGAGAGAGACAGGGAGAGAGAGAGAAATATGAGAAACTTGGTTGGTAAGAATTTCTTACCCTTTTTTCGCCAGCATACCAGGTTTCTGGGTTCCCTTTCTCTGCAGCTTTCAGAAGAACAGAGCAGCTTTGATGACCTTGCTCAGTGTAACATAGCTATGGGAGCCAAGTTCCATTACAAAATAAAATTATGCTTTTCTGTTTGATGGAACCATAGGCATAAGCTTCCCAATTTTGCAAGATGCTGTTCAACAGGCTGCATGGGGAATCAAATTAATATTTTCCATCCCAGCCAAAGCAAAATACATGTAGCAAAACAGACGCAAGTCACTTTGTTCAGCACCAGTGTTGACCTGGCAAGGCTCAAACTTTCTCCTGTTGGCCCCTGTTATCTTTGATCCACACCAGGTGGGAATGGATGATCTCCAAATGGTAATTCAGTGTGTAACCTCTAGGCAAGACAACAAACCTGACAAAAACAAGCAATGGGGAAAGGATTTCCTATTTAATAAATGGTGTGAAAACTGGCTAGCTATACACAGAAAACTGAAACTGGATCTTTTCCTTACACCCTATACAAAAACTAACTCAAGATAAAGTAAAGTCTTAAATGTAAAAGCCAAAACTATAAAAACCCTAGAAAAAAATGTAGGCAATACCATTCAGGTCATAGTCATGGGCATATATTTTATGTTGAAATCGCCAAAAGCAATTGTAATAAAAGCAAAAATTGACAAATGGGAACTAATTAAACTAAAGAGTTTCACGCAGCAAAGAAACTATCATCAGAGTGAACAGACAACCTACAGAATGGGAGAAAATTTTTGCAATGTATCCATCTGACAAAGGTCCAATATCCAGAATCTACAGGGAATTTAAGGAAATTTACAAGAAGAAAACAAAAGACCCCATTAAAAAGTGGGCAAAGGACATGAACAAACACTTCTCAAAAGAAGACATAGATGCAGCCAACAAACATAAGGAAAAAAGCTCAACATCACTGATTGTTAGACAAATGGAAATCAAAACCACAATGAGATACCATCACATGCCAGTCAAAATGGCAATTATTAAAAAGTCAAGAAACAACTGATGCTGGTGAGGTTGGGGAGAAATAGAAACAATTTTACACTGTTGGCAGGAATGTAAATTAGTTCAACCATTGTGGCAGACATTGTGGCGATTCCTCAAAGATTTAGAATGGGAAATACTATTTGACCCAGCAATCCCATTACTGGGTATGTACCCAAAGAATATAAATTATTCTGTTATAAAGATGAATGCACTTATATATTCATTGCAGCACTATTCACAGAAGCAAAGACATGGAATCAACCCAAATGCCCATCAGTGATAGACTGGATAAAGAAAATGTGGTGCATAGACAACATGGAATATTATGCAGCCATAAAAAAGAATGAGATTATGTCCTTTGCAGGGACATGAATGAAGCTGGAAGCCATTATCCTCAGCAAACTAACACAGGAACAGAAAACCAAACACCACACGTTCTCACTTATAAGTGGGAGCTGACCAAAGGGAACACATGCACACAGGTAGGGGAACAACACACTGTGGGGCCTGTCAGAAGCAGGAGAGAGCATCAGGAAAAATAACTAATGCATACGGGGCTTAATACCTATGTGATGGGTTGATAGGTACAGCAAACCACCATGGCACACATTTACCTATGTAACAAACCTGCACATCCTGCACATGTACCCCGGAAGTTAAAATAAAATAATAAAAAATACACAAAAGATGTGAACAGACATTTCTCAAAAGAAGACATATGAATGGCAAACAGGTATATGAAAAGGTGCTCAACATCAATGATATCAGAGAAAGGTAATCAAAACTACAAGGAGATCTCATCTCGCCCCAGTTAAAATGGCTTTCATCCAAAAGACAGACAATGGCAAATGCTGGCGAGGATGTGAAGGGAACCCTCATACACTGTTGGTGGAAATGTGAGTCAGTACAACTTCTAAGGAGAACAGTTAGGAGGTTCCTCAAAAACTAAAACTAGAGCTACCGCATGATCCAGCAATCCCACTGCTGGGTACACACCCAGAAGAAAGGAAATCAGTATATTGAAGGGATACTTGCACTCCCATGTTCCTTCTAGCACTGTTCACAATAGCCAAGATTAGGAATCAACCTAGTGAGTGTCCATCAACAGATGAAAGGATAAAGAAAAGGTGGTACATATAAGCAGTGGAGTGCTCTTCAGCCATAAAAAAACAATGAGAGCCTATCATTTGCAATAGCATGGATAGAACTGGAGGTCATTAAGTGAAATCAGGCAAAGAAAGACTAACAAACATCACATGTTCTCTCTTGTGAGAGCTAAAAATTAAACAGTCAAACTCATGGAGATACAGAGTAGAAGGATGGTTACTAGAGGCTGGGAAGGCACAGGGGGAGAGAGACGGGGATGGTTAATGGATAAAGAAGGTAATTAGAAAGAATGAATAAAACTGGGTATTTGTAGTATTTGACAGCAATAGAATGCCTATAGTCAATAATAATTTAATTGTTCATTTAAAAAATAAGGAGTATAATTGGATGGTTTGTAACACAAAGGAAAAAGGCTTGAGGTGATGGACACCCCATTTACCATGCTGTGATTATTACACACTGCATGCCTGTATGAAAGTATCTCATGTGCCCCATTAACATATACACCTACTGTGTGCCCACAAAAATAAATATTAAACTTTTAAAAAACTATGAAAATTGTAATCAAAATTCACAACGATCAATAAGTACAAAAAATGTAAATTCTATGTCTGAGTTGATGCAGGGCAAGAACATATTAAGGGGGAAAGTTAGAACTGCAAACAAATGAGTTCCTAAGAGCAAGAAACTGGAGAAATAACAGAAACTCCAGGGAGAAGTCTAGATTTAAAGATGCAGGAGATTGAGGGACTGGCACAGAGATCTCCACAAAACCAGGTAACATCTGTGTTCCAGGGAACAGAATAGAAAATGGACCCAGGGCTGTCTCTGACAGGGTGAGCAACTGGAGTGGGAAGGAAAGATCTGGGGGACCCAGGAGGGTGGAGGGACTGGAACTGGGACCTGAAGGAGGGGCTGCGCTTCAGCCTCCTCCTCCCACTGCCCCTCCCCTGCCCCCAGGAGCCCTTGGTGAGGAGGAGGCCCCAGCTCTGTGATGCAGGCCTGGGCTCCAGTCCCTAGTCCCAAAAGCGATGCCCAGGGCTCAGTTGCTTGAGGGCAACATTGCACTTCAGATGGAAAAAATGCTCTTTCCTCTGAAGAGCCCTAGTGCCACGTGGCTGGGCCCCAGCTCCACTCCCTGGATTGTGGATTTCATCCTCACCTCAGTGTGGAGCCTGGGCTTCCTCTTCCTATTAGCCCCCTACCTCCCCAGTGTCCCACCCTCACCCCCGCATGGGAGGAAGAGGAGCAGCAGGAAGGTGAGGAGCAGCAGGAAGGTAAGGAACCCTCAGCCCAGCCCCACAGAGAAAGATTCTCTCTTCTTTTCCTCCCCTCATTTCCACTTTTCCTAAGTAATGAGAGACTCTCCTGCGATGGGAAATCTCATCATCCCTCTAGGGAAGGGCAGAGCAGGCAGGGGTGGGAGTGGGCAGAGGATTCCATCCTCAGCTCCCAGACTATCTGTGACATGCGCGGGAGGCATCAGGGCAAAACCCAACACTGGACTCAGTGGCGAGGACCAGATCAGGAGAGGGGTGAGGTCTCTGTGGGAGGACAGGCCCCAGCTCTGGCTCATCAGCCCCTTTCCAAGGCAGGTGCCTGGGGGTCCAGGCTCCTCTGTGTGGGGTGATCTGGGAGCTGTGCTGAACCCCTGAGAGCCTCCCGCTAGAGCCTGGATTCACGTCTGGCCTCCTCTGAAGCAGAATCCTACTGGCAGCTCAGAGGTGCCTGTAGGCCTGAGCCTGGGTATGCCTTCAGCGGAGGAGAAGGGACTGGGGATATCCAGGGTGGAGTCACACAGAAAACCCCTGCTTGCATTTCCCTAAGAAGGAAAACAGAAAACATTTCATCAATGGTAAACATGAGTAAAAGAAACGCACGCAGAGCTCCCTGAGCTACAGGCAGAAAGCCGTGTCCTTCAAGAGCACTGCGTGTGTGCAGCTGGTCTGGGAAGAGGAGACTGAGAACTGGTCCCAGCCCCTCACCCTTGCTTGCCTCTCGGCATCAAAGGAAGAGATAGGGGAGGCCCAGGAGCAGGAAGAAGATCCCAGCTCTGAATTGTGAGGCCCTACTAATCCCTGAGACTCCCCAGAGGTGACTGAGCATCGTCTGTCCCTGAGGGAATCATTTGCAGAGGCCTGAGAGGGAAGCTCCTGGGAGGGAAATCAGAACCCGGGGCCTCCTCATATTCCCTGTGGGAATGAAGCCATGGGCCCGGGAACCGGTATTGCCCATAAGGGGGCGCTGTGGGGAAGGGACCAAGGCCTGCCAGGATATGGGGGGAGGTCAGGGAGACCCCAGGTCCACGTGGACAGCTGTTCTCCTCGGCCATGGCTGACTCTTCTTAGAGACCACCCCATCCACTCTCCCCACAAGATGGTTGTGACACCCATGAGGGGTTGTACATGGAAGCACTTTTTGCAAATGACAAAGTTCTGCACAATGCACACCTTGCTGTCACCATTGGGGCCATGTGGCCTTGGACACAGATGCATGGGCTTCAGGGTCTAGTTCCCCATGGTGTCCCCTAAAGAGACATCCACCACTCAGCCTCCCATGAGGTTCGCTGGCACCGCCCTCCCCGCCATAACTCTGTCTCCTTACTTCCAGCTTGCAGAATCCTCCTGAGGGAGCTGGAGGAGACTCAGGACCTGACCAACCTTCTGGAAAGATGAGATTCCCCTTCTCTCCATGTCGTCCTTTCTACCAGGGCCTCTGAGGCAGCCCCAGGGTCCAGTGTTGACCTGGGAGGGGGAGGTCCTGGGAAGAGGCGGGAGTGGACTGAAGCCCTGGGCAGGCACAGACAGAGCTCTGTGAAGCCAGCAGTGGGGGAGGTGGAGGAGCTGTGGGCACCAGGTGCCCAGCCCTCCCGACCTCCCAACCCCACCTGCCCCTGGCTGCAGCTTGTGCCTTGTGCAGCCACCTGAGAAAGCTCACTGGGGAGGGTGGCTCCCATCTGCCCTTAGGTGGAGAGCCCTGGGTGATATGTACAAACCAGCTCCTGCTAAGGCCCACCAGCCGCATAGGAAATGCATGCAAGATCCATCTCCTGACAGCTTGTCCCCAAGGACTCCCCCAGTTCCTCTGGCCTCCAACCTGTCACCAGACACAATGACCTTCTCAGAGCCTTTTGGACCACGCTCAACCCTGAGTGCCTCCAGGCCTCCAGAGCCCTTGCTTCCCCTAAAATGCCCTGCAGTCCGGCCACATATGCTTTTCCTTCTTCACCACAGCCCCATGTTCCCGTGGCCTCCTCTCCACCTCCACCCGAACACAGCCTGGCTGGACTTCAGTGTGGCTCCACAATACGCCCTGTCCCCCAGAGCTCCCCTCTACACAACCAGGGGCCACCTTCTCCAACCAGGGTGATCTCTGGCCTTGGGTGCTCCAGCGGTCCCATCCGGGACCTCTCCCGCTGGAGGGAGGCTGCCACCACCTGGGGCCTCTCCACCTGCTCACAGGGCAAATCCCAGCAACAGCATCTTCCCAACCACCCCCCAGAGGCTTCCTTCTGGGGAGACCCCACACCCAGGCAGATGGAGGCAGGTGGCCGCACATTCTTCCATCCCAACGTGCAGAAGCTGCTGGAGACTCATCTCCAAGAGAGCAGTGATGAAGATGTGGCAGGAGAAAGAATGGGGGTGGGCAGACTACCCGCAGATGACATCACTGGGGAAGGAGTGGGACATCACGACTCTAAATCCCTTCTGGAACGTGGCAAACCTACCACAGAAGCTGCCCCATCCTCAGCAGGTCTCTGACGCCATGGCCATGTGGGACCACTTAGAGCAGAAATGCAGCCATCTCTTCTGGGATCTCCCCTCTTTCAATAGCGAGTCCCTGGTGACCATGGCCTGGGTTTCTAGGAACATTTCCTCACAGAATGAGCACTCTGTACCATCGGATAAAGCCTCCACTTCCCTTCCAGGTGAAACTGAGGTTGAGACACCCTCACAGCTTTCCCAGGCACGGCCCCAGCCCCACCACGTGGCCCAGCCCCAACCTTTCACTCCAACCTGGCCCCAGTCCCAGCCCCCGCCTCTAGCTGGGATCCAGACACAGTGGGGCAAATCTCAACCCCTGTCCCAACCTCTTCTCCACCCCAGATTAGGGTCTGTGGAGCATCTTGCCCTACATCCCAGAAGAGGGCACAGTCTGTCATCCCCACTGGAAAAAAGTATCTTGAGTGGCCCTTGCAGAAATGACCAAAGTGGAAGAGGGTTTTGCCCTCTCTCCTCAAAAAGTCTCAGGCTGTCCTGAGCCAGCCCACTTCCCACCTTCCCCAGGAGAGGCCAGCCTCCCTGAACCCTAAGTCAGCCCCCATCCTTCCCGGGATTGCCACCAGCCCTGAGCTCCCAGAGCACCGGTGGCAAGGAAGGAGTGCCATCCACCAGGAGCAGTCCCGTGGCCTCCCAGCAGATTCAAGGCACCTGGAGACCTGCTGCAGCCTAAGGGGGAATTCCCAGGGAGGCCCCAGAGTCAGGCAGAAGCCACGCAGGGGGCCCTCTTGCCCTCCCGGGATTCTGAATTTGTAGGAAAGGGCACGAAGGATGTGCAGAAAGCAGGGCTCAGGAGCTCTGGAAGGTTCTCTGGGAAGGGGTGCTTAGGGTCCAAACTAGAGCCAGAACCAGGATCAAGGCTCAGGAAGGACTTCAGTGAAGGTTCTGGAGAAAGACAAGGAGGAAGCAGAAGGTGATTTCAGGAGGCCCTGGAAGTACCAATCAGTAAGTTCTGCACCCAGGGACCCAGAAAAGCAGCATCTGGAAAACAAGCCACAGGTCCATCTGGACAGGAAGGTGGGGGAGATCAAGGAGGGCTGGATCCCTGTGTCTGTGCATCGCTCCTAATTCATGGCCAAACATGCCATTCCCAAGTCTGACACCCACAGGAAATCGAGAAAGGTGACATCCTGGAGGGGTGGGAAAGCCCACGTGAACACCTCCCAGGAGCTGTCCTTCCTCCATCCCTGCACCCAGCAGATGCTGGAAGCACATCTTTTCAAGTTCTGTGTGAGGCACAGGTGGGGTCCAGAACTTCAGTCCTTAGAGCCCATAAATGTCTAGTCAGGGGAGGCTCAGCCTCCACCCCTCCCACACTCCACCATTCTCCCCTGGGCCTCCTGGGAATCTCTGGCTGAATCTGTAGCCAAGGTTGCCATTTTGTCGGGAAAACCTCCCCAGAATGGTCCAGGAGACAATAGAACAACAAGCAAGTCAGCCCCCACCATGAGTGGCCCTGTCCCTGCCCCACCAACTGAGCAGGAGGAAGTCCAGAGGGTCCCAAGAGGGTCCCAGTCAGCTGACACCCATGAGCAATCAGAGGCCTCTCTGACTGGACAGGAGGGCAGGGCATCTTCTCAGTCCCCCATATGCAACCTTGTAGGCAGAACCTGGCAGAGAGGGACTGTCCTGGGGTCCGGGAAACCCAGACTCGAGGGGAGTGTGGGTTCAGAAATGGCTGGGAATGAGGCATGGCTTGAGACTGAGAGCATGTCCCCAGGAGACCCCTGTCATAGCAGAGCCCTGCAAGAGCTCAGCATGGGGTCCCAGTGGGCAAGGGCCAGAGATGCCCTGGAGGCACTGGAGGCCAAGGAGGAAAAGCCCCCTGATTGGAAAGTCACCTTGGGAGCCAGTGTGAGGGCAAGATCAGGAAGTGTTCAGGTGGATCTGAGGAGCACAGGGACTCTGGGGACCACTAGTAACCCCTCAGTGTCTACAATCTGTGTTGCTCAGGATCCAGGGCAGCTGTGCCTGAAAGCACAGGTTGTCAGTGAGATTGCGCTCATAGTGCAGGTGGACTCAGAGGAGCAGCTGCCAGGCCGTGTTTCCAGCATCCTCCTCCAGGAGGGCGCCACAGGCCTGTGCCTTCCAGGCCGCCATGTGGACATGCTCCCAGCCACATACAGGCCACCCACTTAGGCCCTTCTGTCCACCTCCCAGAGTGTGCTCAGTAGGAGGAACACGACAGCTTCCCAGGGGCCATGTGCCCTCCTATGGAAGGGAGGGGACAGACTGGGGCAGCAGGAACCTGGGAGCCCAAAAGTGAAGGCCCCACAGAAGAGTCAGAAGATGCTGGGCTCTTTGGACAAGGGCAAGGCCCACAGGAGGCCCAGACCAGGGGAGCAGGGACACAGGTCCAAAGGACCCAGGACCTCCCAAGCCAGTGGGAGGAGCCACCCTGCCCACACGAGGGAAATAGGAGACAAACAAGAAAGGAAATACAATCAGCCTCAGCCAGAGAAGGGACAGGCACCACCAGAAAGCAACTTCCAGAGAAAGATCAGTCACCGTCCACAGGGTCTACATCCCAGGAAGAGGGGCTCAGGGCAGGAAGACGTCCTGCAGAAAGGCAAGCCTGGGCAGATGCTGTCCAGAGCTGGGGGTCTGGCCCAGCAAGGTTGTTTATGGACAGCATGGCTGATGAAGCCCAGACCATCATCAGAGTTATGGGGCAAATCCTGGTGGACAAACTGGGGATTCAGCAGGGACGTGGTCCCTCAGAGGTCAGTCGCCACAAAGGCGACCTCCACGCCCAGGAGAATGTGGCTTCCTGCTGCCACAGGAGTCACTACTACCAGGAACATAGCAGAGAGATGGGGCTGGTCTGCAGCCCCAAAGCCACCCCCAAGGGCCACAAATGTCCTGTCAAAAACAAGGGCATCAGAGACAGAGACAGCAGTTGGGCCCCCACCTCCCAGGGAGCTTGTGTCCCCAGCTGGTCCCCACCACCACAGGCCATGAGTGGCAAGCACCTCGGGCAGCCCCATCCACAGCTGCAGGAACTGAGGTCTACACAGAGGTGTCTTGCCTCCTGAACCAGACCAGGCTTCCCACACCTCTCCTGGAGGAGACAGGGGGTTCTATCCAAATAACACTGGACGCCTACACAACAAACCTGTCCTGCGTGGGTGACAACAGTCCCCATGTGTTCCTGACTTCCACGGAGAAGTTCCCAATATACCTGTTTTCCCTGCAGAGGTGGTGGCTTCTGTCTGTTCCATGCTAGGCTGCAGGCAAGGGCTCAGTGTCAGCTCCTCCTGAGTGCGGCTTCCAGAATGGCTGGGCCTAGAGGAAGCTGACAGGGACCTGGAGGACCCCCTTTTCTCCCTGTCCCCACACTGTGTCTGGTTTCCAAACTGGATCATGACCCAGAGCCTTCAGGATATGTAAGGACAGCAAACCTTACGGAGATCCCACCCGGGCTCTGGCTCACTGCATTCCCTGTTCTAAGGCGACTTCTGTGCTGCTGTAGGGGATGGGTCTACAGGGGCGTCACGGACTGGGGGGTGGTAGGCTCCCCTCAGGCTGGAGGAGTGATGGATCCCAGCAGCCTCCCTGCCTCACAGTAGCCTGGGAATGTAGGGGGTGTCTTGTGCTGGCCCTGGGTCAGAGGGGGGACTGCTCTTTCTGGGATCTCCTGGTGGGGAAGAGATGACACCCTCCCCAGACCCTTTCCTGACTGCTGAGTTCCGGATCTGGGATGGACCTGGGCCCCTCCAGCACTTGGCTCAGGCTTGATAACACCCCTGGGTTCATGTCTGGTGTCCCCTGCCTCACTCTCCAGGGCAGTCTCCCAGCCCACTAGTGTGGGGTGTCTGTTTCAGGAGGCACCTAGGGCTGCTGCCTGCCCCTCTGGAAGGACTCTGTGGTCAGGAATCACAGGAGGAGACCTTGGGGCCCAGGGTGAGAGGTGGGAGAAGAATCAGGGAAGACGAGCATAAGTTTGCAAGTGCAGGATCCACAAGCTGCCCACAGCTGTAACCAGGGTCCTTGCAGTCTGGTGACCATTACAAGCAAAAGTGGTCAGTGCCACTGCCAGGGGAGGGGGACCCAGAAGGCAAGGGCTGGCCTGGGTTACAAAGCACATCTATGGTTCCAGGCCCAGGTGCTGGCAAGGGACACATTGGGGCTCAGAGAATCTGGTCACATGGTTGGCAGGGACAGTCCCCACAGGGCCCAGTCCTGCACTCCCTTCGTCCTGGTACTGGGTCCTTCCTGGCCATCCCCAGGGAAGGCAGGAGCAAGGGCAGGGCAGGCAGGAGCCAGTTCCTCAGAGGGCTCTGCCCAGGGGCCTTCTGCCCAGGGAGAGCTCTGCACCTGCAGGGGCTGCGGAGGCTGAGGACAAGGTGTCAGGTCTGTACCCAGGCCTGGCGGGACCCACACCGGGGACCTGTTTCGAACACGCCCTGGTGTCACTTTGGGTGTCCAGGCTACTGTTGGAGCCAAGTCCTGTCTGGGGTGGTGACCTGGGCAGCTCCAGTGTGGGCCCAACATCTATGGGACCCAGGATCCTGTGACCTGCAGCAGAGGAACCCCACAGGGACCCCCAGTAGACCCCAACACGCAAAGATTCCCACAAAGACCCCACATTCATTGAGATTTCAGAGATTCCCCACAGTGACCCCCAGAGACCCCAACACTGAGACCCCCCCCATGAAGACCCCCCCAGAGGGACCCCCCCACAGAAACCTCTGACAGAGACGCACACGGAGACCCTTCAAAACCAACACAGAGATCCCCACAGAGACACTCACAGTGACTCTAACAGAGACCTGCACAGAGAAAAGATATCAAGGTCACTTTGCCACCCGCTAAAATCCCTAGCACTGCACTTGGTGAAAATGAGCAGCATCTTCCTCATTACCAGCAGCGGCTTTCTCCTGGCGGCCCTCTGCCCTCTTCTAGATAAGATTCCTTGAGATATGAGATGCCGAACAATAGAAAAGCCTCCTCTATCAGACAGCGTCCAACTTAGAGCGACCCCCCGACCCGCTGACAGACCCTTCCCAAGATCACCCAATCACAACTCCCATGCTGATGTCAAACTGTAAGTGTTCATGATAGAAACGGTGAGAGTTCCTCTGATGCCGTCCTTCGGAGACCGCGCTCAGCTCCTCAGGCCATGCTCCCCCTCAATGCCAAGGGAATCCACCCGGCTGGTCTAGGTTGGCCTTGCTCACAGGGCTCCTCCTGCAGGCCTTGTGCTGGAGCACATGGAGCGGGAAGGATCTCGGCTTGGACACAGCTTCCTCAGAAAACCTTGTCCGACTCCCCTGTGAGGGCAGGCCCCCTGTGCTGGGTTCCCCACCCTGGCCCTTCCTCCCTTGTGACAATCTCTGCATGCCTGGGTATGTTTCTCCTAGAACCCTGAAATCTTCTGGTGGGCCCAATGAGGAGGGAGGCGTGCCTGACCACCTGACCACACTCCCGGTACTGACTGTGGCCCCTGTTAAAAATTGTTTCATAAAATCTTCTTAGTTAATGGGCACAGGAAGTAAAGCTTCCTAATCTACCTCATATATAAGTTGCATCACTAAAATCATATTTTCATAAAGGGTATTAGCTCTTTCCAGTAGCCAATATAATGTTTCAAGGAAAATTTGTAAAAATAAATGTGGCATTGATACTTCAAATTTAGTGGTATAAAGAAATTTCCAAATTCAAATTATTCCATCTAAGTTACTTATTTTATAGATCAAATATGAATATTCTTGTAAGTTTTGAAATACTTCAGAGTAAAATTCTGAAGTTTAGATAATACAAATTAAAAAGCAATTTTTCTTAAAAACATTCTAATGTGCCACAAATTTATTTTTAAAAACTCTTACCAAAGAAGATGTATTTTTAAGTAATTTAAATATACAACTTGCATCAGACACATATATTGTAAATACACCCTTCCAAAAATGAGGAGCAGCTATGTGTTTACTTTAACATCTAAGATGCTGAAATATCTATATAACAGGTCACGTACTTAAAGCCACATGTAAAACAGGGGATTGAGAAATAATTCAGCATGCATATTTGTTCTGTTTGAAATTTTTTTAATTATTGAAAATAATTGAAAATCTTACAAAACATCATCTGTTTGAAAGATGTTAGAAAAGAGAGGGTAGAAAAATAGGACTGCATTCTTATTGCCTAACAGTTTAACCTCAGTTATAAATACACACATATTACACATATCTATGTGTGTATATGTGCATAGGTCTGTATACACATACAGACATGGGTGTGTTGTAACATCATTTGGTTAGTATCACTTGTCCTATTTTTTTTCTTGAATACTCCGTTTTTATTATTCTACAGAGAAGGGCACAACGCAATTGGTCTCTAGACTTGCCCAAGTAACTTTCTCTCTCCAGCAGTTTCTGTCAGTTCTTGGGTTTGGAAATTTCCTTCCTGCTCACCTCCACTGGCAGCGTGTTCACCTCACGTTAGGCCCTCTGGTTCAATGCTCCAAAAGTGTGATGAGCATAAAGAGAATTTTCCTCTCAGGAAAACAATAATGGCTGGATCACTGATACACTATGGGTTCATAAAGAAAGGTGAGTCTATTTGATTTGTCTATTAACCTGGAAGAGCACATTGAACATTTTTTCTTTTTTAGAATAAGTACACGTACACATTGATCTTTTACTGAAAATAAAAAAAAATTAAAAGATACATGTAAATAAGAACAAAGGACTTTTATCTAGCCCTAGATCCCAATAACTTCTTTAGAACTCTTTTCCTAAAAGGTTTATAGTACAACCTTTTATATTTAAGTTTGCAAACCATTTCTAGTTAATTAGTGTATAAAGTGCAAGGTTTACACTGAGATTTTGAGCCTGTGTTTATTTTCTCCAGTAACATTTGTTAAAAAGACTATTCTTTCTCTTTCAATTACTTTTGTACCATTGTCAAAAATGAGAAATGAGTTGGGCATATTTACTTGTGTCAATTTCTGAGTTCTTCATTCTGTTCTGCTGACCTATGTGTCCATCTCTCCACCAGTATCATGTGCCTTTTCATATAAACTTAAAATAGGTTTATCTATATGCATAAAAATATGTAGCTGGTGTTTTGATATGACTGTCATTAAGTCTACCCATCAATTTGAAGAGAGTTGACATATTTGCTATCGTGAGTCTTCCAAACCATTAATAAGGTATGTTTGAATTTTAGTTCTTCTCTCAATTCATGCACATTTTGTAATTTTTGCCATCTTGATTCTGCATGTCTTGTCAGATTTATGCCTAAGTATTTTCTTTAGAGCAATTGTAAAGGTATATTCAGTTTCCACACATTCATTTTTAGTTCATAGAAATATGATGAATTTTGGAGGATGGATCATTTATCCTGTGAACTTGCTAAATATTATTTCTACAAGACTTTTTTTAGTTTCTCTGAGACTTTACAAAGACAATCGTGTAATCTGCAATAGAGGCCACTTTCCTTCTTTCTCTTTTTTTTCAATCAGTATGCCTTGTTTCTTGCCCAATTGTGCCGACTAGAACTTTCGGTGCTCTGTCAAATAGCATTGTTGAGAGCAGGTGTCTCTGCCTTGTTTCCACCCTGAGGGGAAAACCATTCATTCTTTCATCATTAAGCATGACATAGCTGTTTGTTTTTGATAAATACTCTTGATAAAGTTCAGGAAGTTTCCTTGTATTTCTAGGTTTCTGAAAGTTTTTATCATAAAACTGTGCTATATTTTGGCAAATGCTCTTTCTGCATCAATTGAGATAAGTAACGTACGTATTTTTGTATCGTGTTTCCGTGTTCAGGTTGATATTCCTTGTATTTTAATTGACACATGTACACAATTTATATTTAAGATAACTGTAGGCCGGGCGCAGTGGCTCAGGCCTGTAATCCCAGCACTTTGGGAGGCTGAGGCAGGTGGATCACGAGGTCAGGAGATCGAGACCATCCTGGCTAACACGGTGAAACCCCGTCTCTACTAAAAATACAAAAACATTAGCCGGGTGTGGTGGCGGGCGCCTGTGGTCCCAGATACTCGGGACACTGAGGCAGGAGAATGGCGTGAACCCGGGAGGTGGAACTTGCAGTGAGCTGAGATCGCGCCACTGCACTCCAGGCTGGGCGACAGAGCGAGACTCCGTCTCAAAAAAAAAAAAAAAAAATGGAAATACCAGAATGCCACCTTCTTTTGCAATGTGGGAGACAGAAGATTTATCTCCCTTCTTGGCCCCACTGACACCATCCGGCAAGGGAATCAGAGCACTGCTGATTCCTTCCACTCTGTGTAAGTGAAGTGGATCATCAGCTCCACACTTGATTTCACTGAACTATGGTGTTCGCAGGGGGGGTTTCCATTGATGTTTGGCTACACTCAGGTGGGTATTCCTTGCTAGGCCATTATTTTCCAGGTTCTTTGGCTGAGACAGCTGGGGTTTTATTAGGTTTGGTTTTGTTGGGTGTGGTTTCTGGTTGGAGGCTTCTGCAGCACTCTCTCCAGGGCAGATGAGAAGAACAGGAGACCCAAGGAACATACCACTGTGTCATTCCCCAGGGAGTCTGTCTTCCTTATTATATTTTTCCAACACTTCCCATGCTCCTTTGTTGTTTTATGTGCAGACTTTCATTTAGAACACAAAGGATGTGATAGTAATGAGGCTTCTCCAACTGGGCTGAAAACACATGTGTTTTTGTCTTAAAATCATAAGTATTTTAAAATATACTTGAATAGGTTGGTGAGAATCCTGGGGAGAATTAACACATGATTGGGAAAAAAAAAAGAAACATTCTCAACACTACAAGAAAAAGTCATTTCATAACAGTAAAAACTCTAGCTCACATTATCTGCAACTTACTTACTTATTTTTTCTAGCCTGGTGTCAAAATTATCATTTGCCCCTGTGATAAACAAAATTACCAACCAAAGTGGAGTGTTTCTATGCAGCTTGTTTGGTCTTAACCTTAGAGTATCCAATCAAAATACCATTTTCCAAAGTGTCTTTGATCAGTTTCTTTTTCCTCTTGGAATCCTCTGACTTCCTGGTGGATTTTTTTATTATTATTTTTATTTTGCAAAAAATAAGAAAGAGGTTTTGTAGTGTAGCATTTGGTAGGGTTTGAGAAACCATAGAGACACGTGTCCACCCTCCAGCACTGCACAGAACAGCCGCATCACCCTAAAATTCTGTGCGTGATGCCTTTGTGATCAACCCTTCCCTTTCTCCCAATTGTGGGCAAACTCTGATCTGTTTTCTTGACCTATAATTTTGCCTTCTCCGGAATGTTATACGAATGAAATCATACAATATGTAGACATTTGGGGCTGACTTCTTTCACACAGCAAAACACATGTAAGTTCATCTGTACTGTTGTGTAAGTGAATAGTCTGTTCCTTTGTATTGCTGAATAGCAGTTGATGGTATTGATGCAATAGTCTATCTGTTCACCTGTTGTAAGATGTGTTGGTTAGGCTGGGTGCGGTGGCTCATGCCTATAATCCCAGCACTTTGGGAGGCCAAGGCAGGCAGATCATGAGGTCAGGAGTTCGAGACCAGCCTGGCCAACATAGTGAAACCCTGTCTCTATTAAAAATACAAAAAATTAGCCAGGCATGGTGGTGGGTGCCTGTATTCCCAGCTACTTGGGAAGCTGAGGCAGAAGAATTCCTTGAACCTGGGAGGCGGAGGTTGCAGTGAGCCAAGATCGTGACATTGCACTCCAGCCTGGGTGACAGTGCGAGACTCCGTCTCAAAAAAGAAAAAAAAAAAAAGAAAGATGTCTTGGTTGTTTCCAGGTTTTGGAGATTATGAGTAAAGCTGCTAAAACATTTGCCTAGACTACGGGCTTTTATGTGAATTTGTTTTCATTACACATTGATAAATACATAGGAGTGGAATGGCTGAACCTCACACTGGACATATGTTTTACTTTATAAAAAGCTGCCAAATTATCTCCTAAAGTGACCATGTCATTTTACATTCCCAACAGTAATGAAAGAGAATCTTTGTTGCTACACATCTTCAGGAGCATTTGATATTTTAATTTTTTATTTCTATTCTAATGGCATGTAGTAGTATCCCATTGTAGTTATGTTTTGCATTCCCTTATTAATAACAATAAACATGTTTTCATATGCTTATTTGCCATATGTCTGTCTTCTTTTGAGATGTACGTGCTCAAGATTTTTGCTTGTTTTAAATTGGATTGTTTGTTTTGTATTGTTGAGTTTTAAGGGTTCTTTATTCATTTTGGATAAAAGCTTGTATAAGATACGTGACTGATATGGTCTGACTGTGTCCCCACCCAAATCTCATTTTGAATTGTAGTTCTCATAATCCCTATGTGTTGTGGGAGGGACCTGGCAGAAGGTAGTAGAATCATGGAGGCAGGTTACCCCCATGCTGCTGTTCTCAGATAGTGAGTGAGTTCTCATAAAATCTGATGGTTTTATATAGGGCTTTTCTTCCTTTGCTAAGCACTTCTCTCTCCTGCCACCATGTGAAGAACAACATGTTTGTTTGCCTTCTGCCATGATTGTAAGTTTCCTGAGGCTTTGCCAGCCTCATGGAACTGTGAGTCAATTAAACCTCTTTCCTGGTAAATTACCCAGCCTCAGGC
This sequence comes from Homo sapiens, assembly GCF_000001405.40. NCBI lineage: Eukaryota > Metazoa > Chordata > Mammalia > Primates > Hominidae > Homo > Homo sapiens. Next base: position 20,585,895 of record NC_000015.10, on the reverse strand, counting down.
AGTTCTTTATAGCAGCAGCAGAACAGACTAATACAGTGACTTAATATTTTTCCCTGATTGTTTTAGCTTTTTGCTCTTGTAATGCTTCTTTCACAGAATGAGCATTTTTAGATATAACAAAGTCTGCTTTTTCATTTTTTCTTTTATGGATCATGTGTATGGTGTTTTATCTAAAAACTCATCAATGACCCCAAAGTCATACCTAATTTCCCCTGTTTTATGATAGTATTTTATTGCTGTATACTTTACACTTTTATATGGTCTATTTCAGTCCACTTTTGTAAAAGGTGTAAAATATGCATTAAGTTTCATTTTTTTTTTACATGGGGAGATCCCATTATTACATCCCCATTTACAGAATAGATTATACTTTCCCCTTTTCCTCTGCATCTTTTTCAAAATGCAGTTGAATATATTTGTGTGGGTCTATTTCTGGGGTCTGTATTCATTCCATTGGTCTACGTATCTAGTGTTTTAACAATATTTTAACAAAACCACAATATTTTGAGAACTGTAGCATAATAGTAAGCCTTGTAATCAGTAGTTTATGTCCTCTAACTTTTTTTCAGAAGTGTTTTGACAATTCTAGTTATTTTGTTTTCCATGTAAATTTTAGAATCTCCTTGGTGATATCTACAAAAAAAAAAAAACTTACAGGAATTTTCATTGTTAATGAAGGAACTCTACAAGCAGAAATGGAAAAGACTGGCATCTTAACTATATTGAGACTCTGAATTCATAAATATTTCATTCCCCTCTTTTTAAATTTTCTATTTATTGCATTTATATTTTGTAGTTTTCAGCATACAGATCCTGCACTTCTATTGTTACATTAATACCTAAGCACTTAATTTTTGCTTCTATTTTAAATAGTAATTTAATTTTTTCAACTGTTAATTACTCACACATAGGAAAATTATTGACATTCTATATTGACCTTTGATAATAAAACACTTAATTTCACGTATTTGTTTTAGAAGCTTTTCATAAATACTGTAGACTGTGTATATAAAGATTAGTTTTATCAGCAAATAGAGGCAGTTTTACTTCTTCCTTTGCAATATGTATGTTATTTATTTCTTATTCCTGTCTTATTGCACTTTGCAAATTTTCTAATACAATATTGAATAGGACCTGTCCCCAGTCTTAAGGAAAAATCATTCAGTCATCACCATATAGTATACAGATATAAACATATATCCTAAGTTCTTTTATTCCTAATTGTATGAGTTTTGGTCAGAAATAGATGTTGGATTTCATCGAATGCTCTTCCTGCATCTCTTGAGAAGAATATTTTAAAAATATTCTATAGCAGATTACTTGGATTGGATTTTAATAGTGAATCAGCCTTGTTTTTATTGGACATAATGAATCATCCTACATGGGGAGATGTTCAATTTGATGTCACAATATTTTGTTGATATTTTTTCATATATGTCCATGACTGATATTTGTCTATAGTCTTCTTTTCTCTCCATATCATTTTTTGGTTTTGGTGTTATTGTAATGCTGGCCTTATAAAATGAGTTGGGAGTGCTCCCATCTCATCTATTTTCTCTAAAAGATTGTGTACAGTCAAAATTATTTATCCTTCAAATATTTGATAGAAATCAGTAGTGAAAGAACATGTGACTAGATTTTTTGGTAGGTTTTATTTACAAATGCAATTTCTTAATTAATACAGGACTATTTGTTACCTGTTTCTTCTTCAGTGAGACTTGGTAGTATGTGTTGTGTCTCTAGAGGAATTTATTTTTTTCATCTCATCTATTAGATTTGTGTGCATAAAATTATTTTTAGCTTTACTTATTTATGGTATAGTGTGTATTGATAGCTTGTCTTTCAGTCCTGCTGTTAGTAATCTGTAGTCTCTCTTCTCTTTCCCTTTTTCTCTCTTTGGTTTTGAATTTCACTTATTTCTGCCCTAATTGTTATTAGCTCCTTTCTTTAGTTCCTTAGATTTAAGTTGTTGTTCTTTCTCTACGTTCCTAAAGAAGAATCTTAGGCTACTGAGGTGAGATTACTCTTTTCAAAGAACCAACTTTTAGCTACGTTTATTTCTTCTACTGCTTTCCAACCTTCTATTTTATTGATTTATGCTCTAATCTTTATTATTTCTTTACTTCTGCTAGCTTCAGATTTAGTTTTCTCTGGTTTTTATACTGCCTTTTAGGTGTAGAGTGAGGTTACTGATTTGAGCTTTTTTTAAATGTAGTTGTTTATGTCCATACATTTTCCTTCAAACTCTACTTTCACTGCAGTCACTAAGTTTTGGTATGTTTTGTTTTTATTTGTCTTAAGATACTTTATAATTTCACTTATGATTTATTCTTTCACTGGTAGTTTAAGAGTGTATTGTTTAATTTCTACATATTTGTGAATTTTTCAGGTTTCATTTTTTATTTATGTTTCCTCCATTGTGGTTGTAAATTATATTTTGTATGATTTAAAACTTTTGTAAATGATTAGGACATATTTTTGTGGACGAAGATATGACCTATCCTAGAGAAAGTTCCATATCCACTTAAAAGGAATGTATATTCTGCTGTTTTTGGGTGGACTGTTCTGTATATGTGTATTAGCTCTAAATGGCTTATACTGTTGTTCAAGTCTTCTATTTCTCATGAAGCTTCTGTCTGGTTTTTCTATCCATTAATTAAAATGAGGTATTGAAGTGTCCAACTACTATTATAGAACTGTGTGCTTATCCTTTCAATCCTGTTCATTTTTTTTCAGCTTTACTGAGGTATATTTGAGAAATAAATATTGTACATATTCAAAGTTTACAATGTGATGTTTCTATCTACATGCGCATTTTGAAATGATTACCAAAATGAAGTCAATTAACATATTAATTACCTCGCATAATAGTTACCTTTTTTGTGTGCATGCATGGGATAAGAATACTTAACCATAACCCTAGTGACTGCAGAGTGGCCATTCCAGCTGCTCCAGGCTCCGGCAGAGGAGGAGCGGGGCGGGTGGCACCACCAGGGGGGCCCTCAGGCCTGGCACGCACGCATTTCGGAGGCTGCCCAGGCCAAGGTGCAGCTGCCCTCTGCCCTGTGTGTGCAGGTAGCAGCCGCCTGTCAACTCCCGAGCCCGGTCGCGCTGCCAGCGTCGCAGAACCGGGGTCAGATGTCCCGGCGGCTGCACAGGAGTGAGAACTGAGAACCTGCCGCTCAAAGCCATCACAGGTGACTGCGGAGTCCCCATGCCAGCAGCTCCTGTCTCCCTGTGGTGGAAGAGCCGGGCGGGATGCGCGGCTTGGGGCTTCTCAGCCTGGGCGCCCTGGCGATCCGCAGGCCTCCCGGGCCAGGCCCCTCCAGCCCGCCTGGGCACCCAAGCTGCAGCCACCCTCTGTGTGCAGGCAGCAGCCTCTGGGGAACCTCTAAGCCCGCCTGCACTCGTAACATCTCAGAACCGGGGACAGATGTCCCGGTGGCTAGAGCCAAGCCAGATGGTCTGCCCGATGGCGGCTACACAGGGCCGAGAACCTGCCACTTAATCCCATCCCCGGTGGCTGCGGAGGGCCCCTGGCCAGCGGTCCTGAGCTCTGGCAGAGGCGGGGGCAGGGCCTGGCGGGCTCTCAGGCTCGGTGTACTCGCGATCCAGAGGCCGCCCAGGCCATGTTCCACTGCCTGGACACCCAAGCTGTAGCCGCCCTCCGCCTGCAAGCAGTAGCTGCCTGGCAACTCCCAAGCTCGCTCGCGCTCCCAGCATCGCAGAACCAGGGCCAAATGTCACCGTGGCTGCGGCCAAGCCAGGCGGTCTGCCCGGCGGCGGCTGCAGAGGGGCGAGAACTGAGAACCTGCCGCTCAACCCCATCTCTGTAGGCTGCGGAGTGGGGTCCGGACTCCCTCGGACGGCCTGGCCAGCAGTTCTGAGGTCCGGCAGAGGAGGAGGGCAGGAGGCACGGCGAAGGGTACGGACTCTCAGGCCGCGCGCGCTCGCAATCCCAAGACTGCCCAGGCCATGCCCCGCTAGCCCTGGGCGCCCAAGCTGCAGCTGCTTTTTTGTTTGTTTTTCTTTTTGCAGGCAGCAGCTGCCAGGCAACCTCCAAGCCCGCCAGCACCCCCAGCCTCGCAGAACTCGGGCCAGTGTCGCCGTGGCTGCAGCCAAGCCCGGCGGTCGGCCTGGCGGCGGCTGCACTAAAAACAAAAACTGGCCTCAGCCCCATCCCCGGTGGCTGCGGAGGGCCCCTGCCAGCGGCCCTATCTTTCTTCAAAGGAGGAGCAGGGCGGCCAGAGCGGCCGGGAGGGCTGCGCGCCTGCGATCCTACGGCGTCCCAGGGGAGCCCAAGAGAACCGGTGAGCCAGCGGCGCCTGCGCCCAAGCTGTAGCCGCCCCTTGCGGACCGCGCCACTTGGGAGAGGCTTCCGGAGTCCCCGCGGGCGCTGAGCTGCAAGCGTGCGCATACAGGCTTCGCTTGGCTTACTCGGTCTGAGAGGTCGGAGGCTGCCAGTGTTGCTGCTGAAGGCTGTTAAAACCAGCTACACAACCATCTGAAAGCCATTTTCCTCCCTCTGGTTAAAAACAGTCATATGTCGCTGGGCGCGGTGGCTCACGCCTGTAATCCCAGCACTCTGGGAGGCCGAGGCAGGCGGATCACGAGGTCAGGAGATCCAGACCATCCTGGCTAATACGGTGAAACTCCGTCTCTGCTAAAAAATACAAAAAATTAGCCGGCCGTGGTGGCGGGCGCCTGTAGTCCCAGCTACTCGGGAGGCTGAGGCAGGAGAATGGCGTGAATCCAGGAGGTGGAGGTTGCAGTGAGCTGAGATCACGCCACTGCACTCCAGCCTGGGCGACAGAGCGAGACTCCGTCTCAAAACAAACAAACAAACAAACAAACAAACAAAAAAAAACCAGTCATGTGTCTACTGATGATGTAGTTAAGGCTGTGTCTAGATCTCTCTCTCAGCAGGGACGTGGTTTCTCAAATGCGAATGTTTGACCGGCAAAAGTTTTGCAGCCAGAGCCTGTGCAAGTATTGGCAGATTGAAAATACAAAATCAAGGCACTTCTCACGCCTAGCTTTTTTTTTTTCTTTTTTGAGACAGAGTCTCACTGTGTTGCCCCAGGCTGCAATGCAATGGTGCGATCTTGGCTCACTGCAACCTCCGCCTCCTGGGTTCAAGCGGTTCTCCTGTCTCAGCCTCCTGAGTAGCTGGGATTACAGGCATGAGCCACCATGCCCAGCTAATTTTTGTATTTTTAGTAGAGATGGGGTTTCACCACGTTGGCCAGGCTGGTCTGGAACTCCTGACCTCAGATGATGCGCCACCTTGGACTCCCAAAGTGTTGAGATTTCAGGCGTGAACCACCGCGCCTGGCTGGAAACTATTTTTGTTTTGTTTTGAGACAAGAACTCACTCTGCCGCCCAGGCTAGAGTGTAGTGGCATGATCAAACTCACTAAAGCCTCGACCTCCTGGGCTCAAATAGTCCTCCCCCACCAGCCCCAGAGTAGCTGGGACTACAGGTGTGTGGTACCATGGCTGGTTAATTTTTTTTTTTTTTTTTAATTTTGAGACAGAGTCTCACTCTGTTGTCCAGGCTGGAGTGGAATGCTGTGATCTCGGCTCACTGCAACCTCCACCTCCTGGGTTCAAGCGATTCTCCTGTCTCAGCCTCCTGAGTAGCTGGGATTACAGGTGTGTGCCACCATGCCCGGCTAATTTTTGTATTTTCAACAGAGACGTGGTTTCACCTCGTTGGCCAGGCTGGTCTTGAACTCCTCGGCTCAAGCGATTCACCTGCCTTGGCCTCCCAAAGTGCTGGGATTACAGGTGTGAGCCACTGAGCATCTGATGTCAAAAAGATTAATAAATGGTGCCTCCTGAGTGGCTGGGATTGCAGGCATGTGCCACCATACCCCATTAGTTGTTTAGTTTTTATTTTTTTTGGTAGAGACAGGGTTTCTCCATGTTGGTCGGGGTGGTCTGGAGCTCCTCCCTCAGGTAATCCGCCGGCCTCGGCCTCCCGGGGTGCTGGGATTGCAGGCGTGAGTCACTGCGCCTGGCCCGAAACCCGGTCCCATAACGGAAAAACAAAACAAAAACCACAAAGATTAGCCGCCCCACAGGTAGTCCCAGCTGCTCCCAAGGCTGACCTAGGAGGATTGCTTGAGCCCGGGGGTGGAGGTGGCAGTGAGCCATGATGGCGCTGCTGCAGTCCAGACAGAGCAACAGAGAGGGACTGTGTCTCAGGAAACGGGAGAGGAAAAAAAAAAGTATACAAAAGTGCTAAATCAAGGAACAGCTTGACAGTATATTATTGAGAGACAAAGAGGCAAAGGTTAGCAGACACCGATGTTCGCTTAGTGGAACTGCAGGTGTCCCCCACAGGAGGGTGCCACTTTTCCAAAAGAAATGTATTATTGACAAAAAAAAAAAAGTTGTAGGTTTGTTACAATATACAAATAGCTAAACTTTATATAGCCACGACCCTCTTCTAGCACTGCTCTAAGCCTTTTCCTGCTCTGGAATAGCTACTATTGTTACCTCCATTGTAGAGAAAACAGATGGGGGAGGTTGTTGTGGAAGGACCAGGGAAACTGACTAGGAAATTGACTTGTAAGTTGAGGACTTAAAGGTTCTTCCTGCTTTGCTCCTTACATTGCCACATTTTAGTTAACATACCTCTTAAAATACTGATCCTTTCTGTATTTGGAGGGACTCCTCTTGCAGTTTGAAGTTTTTTCTTACACTAAGCATCTGGTTAGAAGATCATCTCCATTTTATGTCAGTTTAAGTTTAGACATTGTTCAGTAAGGAATGTAAATATGAGCAAACAGTTATCTGATTGAAATAGATAAACTAGAAAAAAAATCACCTATGAGAAAGTCAACAAAATGTCAACTCTGGATTTGTGGCTATTTTCAGAATATTAATTTTTTGATATTTAATGGCATTGTGAATATATTTATTTTTAAGAATTCCTTGTCTTCTACAGATACATATAAGGTAATTAAAAATGATAGGATGTATAGGTTTTACTTCAAAATAATTCAGAGGAAGAAGGAATGTATATAAATGAAGTGGGAATATAAATGAAACAAAACTGGCTGTGGCCAGGTGTGGTGGCTCACGCCTGTAGTCTCAGCACTTTGGGAGACCGAGGCAGGTGGATCACCTGAGGTCAGGAGTTCAAGACCAGCCTGGCCAACGTGGTGAAACACCATCTCTACTAAAAATACAACAATTAGCCGGATGTGGTGCCGGGTGCCTGTAATCCCAGCTACTCGGGAAGCTGAGGCAGGAGAATCGCTTGAACCTGGGAGGTGGAAGTTGCAGTGAGCCAAGATCATGCCACTGCACTCCAGCCTGGGCAACCACAGCAAAATCCCACCTTTAAAAACAAACAAACAAACAAAAAACAACCAAAAAAAAAAAACTGTCCATACCATGAATGAAAAATTGTTGATGATGTGTATATGTAGGGCAATTATATCATTTATTATATATAATATATATATTATTTTTCTCAACTTTTTTTTACATCTGAAACTTTCTATTGAACACATGGACATGTCCCTTGATAACTGGGGCTGCTTCCCCATTATTCTCTCAGCAGCCCTTCTGATTTTCACTCCATCTTCATTCTTAGAGATTCTGGATTTTATTTTTTTTTTTGGGGAAGTTCAAGTATGTCTTTGCAAGGATTATCCAGCATGTCTACCTACTCAATCATATTATCAGAAACAGAAAAAGTGTCCAGATTCTTGTCTTGTCCTGTTCAGATTTTTTAAATTCCAAGAACAGTCACCTTCTACCAGACACTCTGATGTTGGAAGACAAAGCATATTTGGTAAGTGGCATGATTTCTGGGCTCCGATTTAGAACAGTCACAGCTTTCAACAATCCAAAAATAGCTGACTGTGACTCACCATATTTAGAAAGATGGAGATTATTAAAAAAAGAAAACCTTAATTTATTGTGTGACCGCTAAGTGTCTCGGCTGAAAATTGTAAAGATAGAAAGGTAAATCAAAAGATACAGAGACTGTAATCATGCACTTAATAAAGCGCTAAATCAAAATATATTTGGCATATGTGAAAGAGTTTAATTTTATCCCATTTTCTACTGGCACTATAGGTATTTGTAAGTACATATAAAACTACAGTGTTACATATAAACTACCAAAAAGGAACTTAAGAAACGAGACTAATCTAGCAACTTTATTTAAAAGTTTATCTTAAGGGAATAATTAAGGATGTCCATACAAAAGGATTTAGCCATGACACGAGAATGTTCTTCCTGGCAAATCAATGGAAATTATTAAATGTGCAAAAGGGAACTGTTGGAATAAATTCTAATGCTTTCATATGATCCTATGTCGTAACCTTTTAAAATGATATTAAAGAGTTGCATACATTGACTTAAACAGATATTCATAACACATCACTGAATAGGAGAAATACGGGCCAGCAAAGAACATAGAGTTGGTCCAATTTCTACAAAAAAAAGAAGACTAATAGCAAGACAGCAGGGAAGGGGGAATATGTCAATGTATGTGTGTATATATATGTATGCATAGCAAGTATGAACTTGAAAGGATATATATCAAATTGTTTACACAGATTACCTCAGAGAGGTAAATAACTGGCCTTTGGTGTTCTGTGTTCCATAGATTCTGAATTTTCTTTTTTTATTTAAATAGAGATGGGATCTTAGCCAGGAGCAGTGGCTCACACCTGTAATCCCAGCACTTTGGGAGGCTGAGGAGGGCGGATTGCTTAAGGCCAGGAGTTCAAGACCAATCTGGCCAACATGGCAAAACTCTGTCTCTACTAAAAATCCAAAAATTAGCCAGGCGCAGTGGCTTATGCCTATAACCCCAGGTACTCGGGAGGCTGAGGCATAAGAATTGCTTGAACCAGGAGGCGGAGGTTGCAGTGAGCAGAGATTGCACCACTGCACTCCAGCTTAGGCAACAGACCGAGACTCTGTCAAAAAATAAAAACAAAACAAAACACCACCACCAACAACAAAACAGTAATAAAGAGAAAATCTTATGGACAGGAGCAATGTCTCATGCCTGTAACCCCAGTGCTTTGGGAGGCCAAGATGGGAGAATCGCTTGAGCCCAGGAGTTCAAGACCAGCATGGGCAACATAGCAAGACCTTTTCTCTACAAAAAATTTAAAAATTAGCCAGGCATAGTAGTGCATGCTTATACTCCCAGCTACCTGGGAGGCTGAGGTGGGAGGATCACTTGAGCATGAGAGTTGGAGGTTGCAGTGAACTGTGATCACACCACTGGGAAGCCATGACCCCATCCCTGCCTTCTTCCTCTGTCCTATGCTAGCAATAAGTAAGTTTCCCAGCCACAAATAATTATTAGAACCTCCTCCCCATGTGCCACCTCCAACCACCGCTAGGTATGATACAGGGGTGGCCCTACCCTCTGGAATATACAAAACCTTACACAGACACAATATATACACCGGGGAAGGGGGGCCACCCCAGCAGCCCATGCCTTCACCTGGTCCACAGTTAGCCCCACTGTCCTGCCTCAGCTACCTCTCTGAATAAGAAGATTCGAGCCCCCACTGAGGGAAAAGTTGCTATGGTGAGAGTAAGGAGGCCATGAGGCCTCCTCCAAACAAACCAACTCCACCAGCCTCTGGCTCTTAAATAACAATATCATCCAGAAATTTAAGGACTCAGCTCTGGTCAAGGTGGCAAAGGGTCTGTTTGTCTTTCCTCGTTAGACAGTGGTCTTGTCTTGCTACCCTAATTGTAAAGGGGTGACTGGGAAGGGGAGATAGGGACAGTGTGGTGGTGGAGAGACCCCAGCCCCACTTCTCCAGGCTTTGCTGACAGGGGCCTGCTTTTAATTTTAATTTTTATTTTTATCCCATGCCTTTTTTTTTTAATCCCATAACTTCTTTTTCATAACTTTTTTTGGTAACTTTTCATAAAACTTTCTTCTACTTTTTGGTCACAAGATTTTTTTGCCACAACTTTTTTACATTTTTTATCCCATAACTTTTTCACCCCATAACTTTTGTTAATCCCATAACTTTTTTATTTTGTGTTCTTTTAATAAACCCTTGCATAGTTATATTACAATTTTGTAAAAATGAAACATTATCTCATGCCAAGCATGCTCAGCATTTGCACAGTATCAATACCTTTAATACTATATTTTTCAAGACACACAGAATAAAATTTTAAGGCAAAAACAGCACTTTGCAACAACTTAATAATTTATTACATTACAGTATCATCACACCAGCAGTCAATAATGCCACTTTAGGCAAAAGTCTTTCAGTATTTCCGTTTTACATTCCGCTTACAAGAATTCATAAATTGGTAAAATTCATTCTAAGAAAACTTGGCAAATAAAGCTTTGGACTGGAATTGGCATTTCTTTCTCTACTTTTCCTTCCCACCATTTATTTCCTTTACAGTATTCATATTTTAAAATGTTTTAACTTATTTCAGAACATTAAGATAGCAGTTACATTGTTTAATAGTTATTTTAAAATGACTCTTTCAGATAAAGTTTTAGAGAAACTATAGTATGGATAGGGCTGATTTACATTTTCAAATTTTCTAAAAATCAGCTTTGGTTTTAGAGCTGATTTTTGTTCATTTCTGGAAAACCTATCAGATTTAATCCAATACTTTAAAAATGATTATTATATATTGCACTCTTTAAATCGGTGATTTGATTCTTCCTACAGAAATTCAAATTTATTGAATTGAACTCACATTTTAGAATTCTGTTTCTGATGAACTCTAACCTTCCAATGTTGCCTTCTAAGCAAATTGAAAGCTGCCTTATACCGAATGAGGAAGAATACCAATACTTGGCTGAATGAGGTATCGCAAAAGACTGCATGCACTTTGAAGAAAGACTTAAGTTATAGTCATGCGATTTCCATTCTTTTTAGCTTTTTCTTAAATATACGACAAATATCTACACAAAGAGTGGTATTTCTGTTAATACAGTCAATTTATTTTCCAGATTGACATTCAGCTTAAATATGCCAGTATGTGATTTAATCCATAGGCACCTGATGAACACATTATTGTCAGATTGGTTACAGATGCTCGTAGTTGTCTTTAAACTGAACTCAAAGAATGCAAAAACATCAAGTTCAGAAAATAAAAGGCAAGGACAGGACTTTAAGTGCATTTTAAAGCCACGGGCTAGAAATCGTACCACTGTTAACTAGCCGCATTATTTGGTCTAACATTTTTTCTTTATCATTCTGAAACTGGGTTTATCTAATACATTGATACATTCATACAATTTGGAAGAGTCCGTTGAAGTCACAAGGACCCGATATTTGCACTCTTTCAGTGATTGCCGGCAAATCTGTTATTCCATCGGCAAAATCGTACTGCTGCTCTCCTGTTAATGTCGTATTTATAAAAGTATCATGAGGATGCCAAATGCTAAAAATGGAGATGGTCTAGTAACTAGAAATCCCCACCCCAGGGAGCACACATACATATCTCCCTACATCCTAATAATGTGATGTGTTTTGGAACACAGACATTAGAACTTCATGAAGTTTTAACTGTTGAGTCTTTCCCAAGCATCATCAAGTTATGATTTAGGCAATGTACAACTGAAATTCATTCATTCATCATGCATAGGCACAATCACATAACTACTGCACAAAATATGCCCGTAAGTGAAACCCAGAGGTACAGAAACACATTTCACTCTTCACAAAGAAGTTTGTGAGGAAATATAACTCTGTGATTGTATAGACATGTTTCCTGATAATACACTGACATTCACCAACAGTAGATTGCACTGCAGTTTGTACACATTTTAAGTTGCATAAACTTCTCCTTGATTTTCAAAGATAGTATAATACTGTCTACTAAAACTCCTTTTTGTTTCAACTAAGCACTCTCACATATATTAGTTTATAACAATGTTTATTATTATTTCAAAGTGTTTTCCATTCAAGGAAAAGAAGTCAATTCCTATGTCAAAGTAACCAAGGTGGTTGAAGAATAGGCAGAGTGGTCTAGATGGTAAAATCAATCTTCAAGCCTCAAAGAAGCTCCATGAACAGAGGAATGCCAGGTGTCACACAGCTTTCCTTCACTCTAATTCATTCTTGACTAGAGCCTGTATGCGTGTTCCAGGGACATTTAAACTCTTAAAGGATTTCTTCTGATCTTTACTAAATACATTAAGAAGAATGCCAACCAGTGCCCTTTTGTGTACTGGGACATGCAGTCATGTGATTAAAACAGGTAACATGAACTCTGACTTTAAAATATAGATACAAATGCTCTAAGCTAGGAAAGGTTTTCCACATCCATAGTCAATGATGGGAACCTTTCATTCCTCAGAAATAAGCCCTTTTTAGGTCATCAAAAAAGAGTACAACTGCTGCAGCTCATGATGCAATATCTTCATGAGCCCAGAGCACATACAAATCCTAAAGGAACTACAATAGTACAGCACTAATTCTTGGCAACAGAACAAATGAAACACACTCTATCTTGCACATACCTGCCAGAGCAGGCAACTTTCCTCTTCTGTGAAATTTAAAAAGCTCCCCCAAAATGTTATTACTCCCATCACCAATACACAGAAAATGAGGGAAAGGCTGTTTCCAGTTCTCGGCCTTTAAACAACTCTAAATGTCAGTACTCTTGGTGGCATATTACAAAGTATTAAATAGTGCACACTTGGGGCAAACCACATATTGTGCTAATGAAGAGCTCACTGTGATTAAGATTAGATCAAACAATAGCAGAACATAGGCAAATTTTATCTGAATTCTGTAATGAATATACATGCTGCAATAACATTAAAAACACATGGCAGCCTATTCCAAACCAGCAAGAATAGTTTTGTGCAAATAGTGGGTCTTTGTGTGTTTGAACTCCCACCACGTAAGGGCAAACTCAATATGCATGCTAATAACCTACAATCATGAAATTGAAAAAGAAAATTGCGAAAGTATGCCAGAGTGAACATCAGTGAAAGCCACAGAGACCCACTCTCTTTTAACTATTTACAAATAAACTTAAACTATAAATTAGAAACACAAATAATCATAAGTGGCTATAACATTCAAACGAAGTAAATGAATTGTGTAGGAGATTAACCCCATAACTTTGTTTCTTTTTTAAAAATTTCTTGAGCAGCTCTTTGACGATGGTCATGTTTATCTCCTTCTTCTTGGCGGCCAAGCCCAGCAAAAGAATGGCACACAGCAGTTGCTGCCCAAGCCTGGGTGCTCCTGGTGGTCCTGCACGATCGGCTGTGCAGTAGGCTTGTCGTGGGGAGAACCCTCCCTGGCCTCTCCTTGCACAGGCTCCACGCTGTCAGTGAGGCTCACCTCACAAAGATCTTTGGAGAGAGGGAGGTGGGGATCTGAGCTCAGTGAGAGCCCCCCTGCTCCTGCCTGCCCACCCCGCCTGAGGGCTCTACTCACCACCATGCTTGTGGGCAGCCCCAAGCTCCTGGGGGGCTGGGGCTCCTGGACTGGGCTCATGAGCAGGGTTCTGGGCAGTCACCAAGAATTTGCTGTGTCCCTTGTAGTCGCCACCAGCTGCAACACCATCTCCTGCAGCTCCAGCAGCTTCACCTGGAGGGAGGGGTGCTCAGCTGTCACGCTGCTGCCAGCGCTCACCGTCACAGCCACCCCCACCCCCGCAGAGATGTTGCACACTCTACCTTCATCTCCTCCCTGTCCAGGGCCAGCCTGATGGTGTCCTCCTCCCGGTGCTGCATCTTTGGCACTGCCCCCTGGCTTTGTTATAGGGTGATAAACTTTCCTGCGGGAGGACAGGGCTCAGACGCTGGGGCCCCTCCAACAGCCCTGCAGCTCCCCCTGCCATGCCCTGGCCTCCCACTCACTGATGGCATCTCTCTCTGTAGTACTGGAAGAATCCAAGTTCTTCTTTCTCCACCAGCTCACTCAGGTCTGCCTTCTCCTCCAGGTGGTCCATAAAGCCGCTCTGGAGCCAAAATAATGGGGTCACATCTCGGCAGCGACCTGCCCTCAGGTGGCATTTTCAAGTCATGGAGAAGGCGGAGGTGAGTTCCGGCATGGGCCAGCTTCTCCATGACTTCCTGCAGGGCCCGGTGGGTCTCCCCACTCACAGACTCGCCCCCAGGCCCTGGGGCTGGGACCGCTGCCTCTGGCTCCTTCTGGGCCGAGGCCACCGGGTGAGCCAGGCGCTGGCAGCACACCCTCTGCTCTTTCACCTGCTCTTGTAACTGTGCCTGCTTCTCCTGGGCACTAGCTCCAGCGGACTTGAAAAATGCCACCTGAGGGCAAGATGTGAGCATTCTTCTAGGGGCATACACAGAAGAAATGGGGCAGAGAGGTGGAGCGCAGCCCCTTCCCTTGGGGCCTCAGAGAGTGCACCTGTTGGCCACAGGTGAAATGGTGTCTGACCACTGGCTCTCGGAAGGGGTGAGGGTCCAGAGAAATCAGAAGGCAGGGAAACGAAGAGCATAAAGGGGTCTTGGAGGGACCACAGAGAAAGGTGGCAAAATGGGTGCAGGGGGAGTCAGGCTCACCATGGCCTCCCTGCTCTCCAGGTCCTCTGGGACACTCGGCATGGGCCGAGGTGCCTCCTCCCCCTCACTGTCCAGATGTTCTCCTCCGTGTCCTGTTGGGGGTGGCCAGAGGGGTCTTCAGACAACTCAACAAGGGAAGTATTGTGGGCCCACCTCTGCCTCCACCCTCATTGTGTAACCCTGAGCCAGGCCCTCCCCAGAGAGGAATGAGCTGCTGTTATTTATTTTTACTTTGAAGAACCAAGATCTTGCTATACTGCCCAGGCACATTCCCACTACTGGTCGGTGTGGGAGTTCTGACCTGCTCCCTTTCTGACCTCGGCCAGTTCAGCCATCCTTAGGCAACTTGGTGGCCCCCCGCTCCCAGGAGGTCACCATATTGATGCTGAACTTAGTGCAGGCACCCGGTTAGTATAATGACCAGCTGTTCTAAAGGTCTCTTCCAACTCCTCAATCCTATGCTGCTAGCAGTCCCCCCTTCCTCCTGGGGCTCTCTCCTCTTCCTCTGAGCGGTCTCCCGTACCTTCCCCAGGGAGAGCCATGAGGCTCAACTGGGCCGTTAGCTGCTGTTTCTGCTGGCTGGCAGCTTCCAGGCGCTCCTAAGGGGCCAGGAAAGAGTGAGAAGGCACAGAGTTTGCCAGGTCGTCCCCCTCACGGCCCCATCCTCGGCAGCTCCCTCCCCTGGGCCTCCTGCAACTTTTGGCAGGCCATCTCGGCCACCGCTTTGCCCCAAGCTTCCTGCTGCTGCAGCTGGTTCATTAGCTGGGTCTGCTGCAGTCACTGCCTGTACAGCGCCTCCTTCTCACAGGTCAGCTGCTGATAGGCGGCCACCTGCTGCTGATAGGTGGCCACGTACTGCTGCAGGTGACCCAGGTAATGGTCTGGCTGCTGCTGCAGACTCTGAGCCTCTTGGCTCTTCAGCTCCACCTGCAGGAAGACCCTGGGTGTGAGGGCACGTGGTGGCTGGTTTCCAGATTCTGGGCCCATTAATAGGGTAGCGAGGGCACTGTGGGGCTCTGTCGCCTGCCCAGGCCCCTGGCCCCTTACTCCAGGCCTAAGTGACTGCCTCCCTTTCCTAGAACCCCATGCCTCCTTCCCCAGCCTCAAATCTCATGTCCTCTTCCCACCATTTCAACTGTAGGCCACAGAATGGTAGAAAAGTAGTGGGAGCCAACCACCATCTGCTAAATGTGCTACAGGCCTAATGCTTCCCATGTATTATCTCATTTAATCCTCAGCACCTCTGTAAGGAAAATGCTAACTTCCTTTTGAAGTTAAAGAAACAGAGACTTAGAGATGCGAAGTACTTGAATGGTGACCAGTGGAACTGAGGCTGGAATCCAGTTTTAATCTAAGGAGTCTTTTTGTTTTGTTTTGAGACAGAGTGTCACTCTGTGGCCCAGGCCGGAGTGCAGTGGTGCAATCTCAGCTCACTGCAACCTCCACCTCCTGGGCTCAAGCAATTCTCGTGCCTCAGCCTCCTGAGTAGGTGGGATTACAGGCATGCGCCACCACCATGCCCCACTAATTTTTCTTCCTTTTTTTGTTTTTTGTTTTTGTAATTTTAGTAGAGATGAGGTTTTACCATGTTGGCCAGGCTGATCTCAAACTCCAAACCTCAAGTGATTCTCCTGCCTCAGCCTCCCAAAGTGTTGGCACTATAGGCGTAAGCCACCGCGTCTGGCATAAGAAGACTGTTATACCACTCTGTCTCTTCCCCTGTGATTGGGGGTGCTCCATGTCTCTAGCTGGAATGATGATGTCCAGACCTGGGAGGAGCCCAGGGCTACCCACCTCTAAAATCAGAGGGCAGGAAGCAAGAAACAGCCACAGGACTGCCCTGGAGGGTGCTGGGGTCACCTGCCCCCGGGCTGGAGCTGCCTCTGGCCTGGCACCTCCCCTCCCCAGAGGCTGGTGCCCACCTCCCAGACCTTCTTGGATGGGGTGGAGGTTACCGTCTCCTTCACCTTGCCTAGCTTCTCCTGCAGCTCCTTTACTTGCTGCTCCAACTGTAGTACGCTCTTGTTCTCATTGTTCTGGACAGAGAGAAGCAATCAGCAGCCACCCACTGCAGCTGGAGACCCCAGAACTTGGTGACTGCCTCCCATGGCACCGGGAAGGGTGGAGGCAGGTTAGAAAAATCATCCCCTGTCTCCCACAGCCACCAGAGCAGGGCTCTGGCTCACAGGTGCCTTTAGGAGTAACATTTCACTTGAGGGCTACACTGCCACATTTTATAGGTGGGGAAACAAAGGCCTGGAGGGCTAGGGAGGAGGGCAGGCTCCCCAGCTGGGGCAACGCACCAGCTCCTTGAAGCTGTTCTGTGGCTCGGCCAGCTGCTGAAGCCTCTCCTCCTGCTCCCGAAGCCTCTCCTGCTGCTCCTGAAGCCTCTCCTCCTGCTCCCGAAGTCTCTCCTTTTGCCCCTCATTCAGGAGACTTATGCGCTGATTGTACTCCACCTGGGCCTGGAGCGCTCCTGCCACTCTCTCTAGTTCCTTCCTCAGGTGCTGCAGCTCCACCTCAGAGGGCACTGCTGGGGGCTCCGGGGGCAAGGGTTCAGCTGAGAAAGGAAGCAGATAATAAGGGCCTCTGGATTCTCGGAAAAGAAAAACCCTCCTCTTGGCGCACAGCTCCTCTCAGGCTCCTCAAACTTGGCCTCACTGCTAATGATTCCTCGCACCCAGATGGTAGCCAGTCTTCCAAACCACTTTCAGAGAAAGAGCACTGCGGGTGGCTGACAACGGGCCCTCTTTGCTGATGGGGACACTGAGGCTCATTGAGATGACAAGACTTGCCGTCTCCTGGCACAGACCTCTTTCCCTCTGCCTCAAAGCCCTTCCCATCCACCCACCTCGCTGGGGCACTCCAAGCCACCCTCACAGCCCTCTGATGCCAGTCCTGCTGCCAGGTCACGCCAGCCCCATCTTACCCATCTGGTGTTTGAGTTTGGACAAGCTCCTCTCCAGCGTCTCTACCCGATATTTATCATGCTTCTTCTCCTTCTTCAACGAGCAAACCTGCCCAAAGCACAGGGGGAAAGGGCCCTGGAGAGAGGGGCTGGAGGCTGGACATGCTACCATCTCCCTCTCTGCCCCCACCTCCACAAAGCCCAGTCCCAGGACCACCTCTGGCTCTACTATTCCCATTTTACAGGTGCCCAGAAAGATCCAGTGACCTATCTAATGTGGGGGGGCTGAAGGGTCAGATCTCACCTCCTGCGACATTTTTCTCATCCTCTGCTGCCACCGGGCCCTCTCTCCTTTTAGATGTTCAGCATATTCATCCCTCTCTAGCTGGACTTCTTTAAGTGACTCCTTCAACTGCAAGAATGGGCACAGAAATTAGGAAGGGCTGTCACTGGTCCTCACCTGCTCCTGGTTACCTGGGGTCATCTTCCTTCCACATCCCTCCCTCTGAACACCTCACCTGTGTCAGCTGCGCTTTCAGCAGTGCCTGCTCCCGCATGGACTGCTCTAACTTCCACTCCATACGTGCTTTACTGCGGCTGGAGAACTGCTGAAGAGTGAGAAGTTTCAATCTGGGGAGGCCGGGCCATTCCACACAGTGCCCCTTAAAAGGGCCAGGGCTAGGCCCAATATACAACTCGGTCAGTAAAGATCAAGGCATTTCCAAGCCCGTGGTTTGGTTTTTAAAGAACTCAGTAAAGTTGGAAGGGACAGGGAAAGAGATCGAATTTATAGCTGGCTAACAGAGGCCCAGAGAGATCAGATAATATTGCTATTGTTATTACTGTTATTATTACCACTGTTTGAACTTTTATGGAGTGCTTCACCAGATACCATGCTAGCAATCCCATTTAATCCTCGCAACCACCATGGGAGACAGTTACTATGATGACCTCTATTGTGTAGATGAAAAAACATGGAGTATTTGAGGTTAAGTGCTTGCCTAAGATCACTTAGGCAGAGCTGGGATTTAAACACCCAGATCTATCCAATTCTCTAAGCCCATTTTTCTTGCTGGGGGTGGGGGCACAGCTAGGAAGGGGAAAATTAATCTTTTGTTCACTTTTTGAAAGGATAATACATTCACATAGTCCCAGACTCAGAAGGTACAGAAGGGAAGTATCTCCCAGCCACCCTGTTGCTCTCTCCTGAGTTTTTATGAACACTTGCAAACATATTTTATGTATATTATCATAATATGTACACACACACACACGTTTCCTCTCTCTACAGAAATGGTAACATACTAAAGGTACTCTTCTGTACCTTCACAGTACAAGTACCCAATACCCCACTTAGGACTTGGCCAAGACCACAGCCAGGTAAAGGCATGGCAGGCACTTGGCCTCCAAGCTCTACGTCCTGTGCTCTCTCCCCAGAGTGCCCCCCCACTCACCCACAGCAGCTGACTCAGTCCCAAGCTGCCGCTAACAACCATACAAAAAAGCAGTGAGAAATGGCCATGCTGCCTTCTGGGCAGGACACTCCATCCTGCAGAAGGGACCTTTAGGCTCACTCCTCTGTCTGTGAAGCCAGGCTACCAGGGGACGCGGCAGGTGGTTGGACTCACCCTCTCCGCCTTCTTCTTCTGTGTGGCGGTGACAGCAGAGAGAGCCCGCTCTAACTCTCCTTTACGCTGCAATGAATGTTGCAGACGGACGGCCAGATCCTTGGACTCTTCTGTAATGAGAGAGTTGAGATGGGGCCCAAAGGACTCCCCCTGAAGACCTGTCAAAGTCCCAGGTTGAAGGATGACAGGGTACCCAGATTCCCACCTTCAAAGTATCTGAGAGAACGTTTCGTGTGGTACAGGTCCGTATTTAGTTTCCCTTTCTGTATGTTCAATCTCTGGATTTGAACCTTTGGGAGAAAAGCCAAGCAAGTGCTGAAAGAGAAGGAAAGAAACATTCTCCGGAGGACAGGAGAAAACTGCACACTGTCCACTCACCTCTAGCCCCCTTTCAGCTTTCTGTTTCTCGTTGTTTGCTTTCTTTTCCTGTAGGAAGAGGAAGACAGAGATCTAACCAGGCGGAGGCAGAGATGGTACTGCAAGAGACATGTCCCCAGAATGCCACCACTGCCCCTGCCCCGGGACAGGCCCACCCATGGGACCGGGTTATCAGGGACCCTGTGGGGGATGGGGTGGACTCTGGGGGGTGAGCCTTCTTCCCCAGGCTGGGAGTGGGTGAGACGAGACTCGGGGCCTCTACATCTGAGTGTCCCCCAAACCGAGCAGTCATGTCGCGAGCAAACAAAGAAATCATGTTACTTCTTCCAGCTGATGTTCCACTTGTTTCTTCTGTTGTTTCTGTGGGGAGAGTCACATTAAGGTGATGGAGGGTGGCCCCCTCAACTCTATTCCCCAGAGCAGGAAGTGGTAGGCAGGGACCAGGAATGGATTTTAAAGGCAAAGTTCTCAGACCCAGTGGGAACACGAACTGGTAAACTCTCCTCAAGCTCCCAAGGACAGAGGATTTGGGTCTTTGTTGGCTTTTGTCCACAGCCACAGAACTCAAGGTCTGAATCTGGAATCTCTTGACAGGACAGTAACATAAACCTCTAGAGATGGAGTTTGAGAAAGGCCCCCCCTTCTGCCAGCTTGTGATTTAGAAAAGTGCATTCATTCAATAAACATTTACTGAGCACGTACGGGCCAAGTACGGTTCTTCACAGCAGATTTAGGGCGGAAAAGGACAGACAGGAGCCTTTGGCCCTGAGGTTTCCATTCTAGGAGGCCTTTAAATCTCAGACTCTCAGAGCTAACAGAGACCTATGATACTCACTACTTCCTCTGGAAACACGAGCCCAAAAAGGAGAGGTGGCTTGTCCAGAATCAAAGAGCAAATTAGGGACTGAGTCATGGCAGAAATACAGGGCCCCTGACAACCAGTCAGGCTAGCACTTCCCCAAGAGGCAACAATCCCAGGGCGTGTGTAGCAAGGACTCGAGCAGGGGCGTCTGGAGAGGGGAGAGTCAGCAAACAGGGCAGCAAAAAAAGAGCCATGCTGCATGCTCCGGGGTCCCTCCAGGTGAGGCCTGGGTGCCCCAGCTCCCTATTCGCCCTTGGCACCAGGGGCCCCTGTCCCCTTTCTTCAGGGCCCCAAGGAGAAACTAGAGCCCAGGATTGGCAGCGTGGAATCAGGGGACCCCAGTGGACTCTTACCAAAGATTTGATGGTGTTCTTCAGTTGACTGACTTTTACGGACCTCGAGTCTGGGACTACTGCTAGTTCTTGGCACGGGCTCTGAGGCGCATGCAGAGAGGAGGAGGTGGAGGAGGAGTGGGGGGAGAGGTAGAGAGAGCAATCATTAGGGCTGGGGTGTGTGTGGACTGTCTCAGCTGGCAGAGGGGCACCCCGTCCCACCTGGAGGAGGAGGTTGGAGGGCTGCCCTGCAGGGTCACTGCACCTCTGCCCAGAGCCTCTTACCTCCAGATCCTTCAGGGTAGCAGATGATGTAGGGCTCTCCCCGTGGATACCTGTTGCTGACTACAAGAGATGAGAGTGCACATGAAGATGTTCTGTCCCACTCAGTATCTAAGCCCTCTGACTTCTTTTCTTCCCCATCAACTGGCACAATTTTCTTTTCTGCCTATCTTGGACCCTTTGTCCCATAACTCCTTTGTGCCAACTTCTCTCATGGTTCTTATCTCCCCACCACAGCACCCTGCGGCCCTTTCAGTGACTCCTGTGCCAAGTGACTGTTCTCATTGTCCTGGCTTCCCCTTGAGACTGGGGATGAGGAAAATCGAACAGCAATGACCATATCCTGGGTGTTCTGGGTGTTTACAGCAGGCCATGTACTAGGGATTAACATAAAAACAACAATAACAGATCTCATTTAAACTTCACAAATGGAAGTGAAACAATACCACCTCTATTATACAGATGTGAAAAGAGAGGCCCGATGAGGTCAAGCAACTTGCCCTAATTCATATCCCTAGCAGACAAAGAGGCAGGATTCAAACCCAGAATTCTTCACAGGTACCCAACAGTCCATCCACAATCTTAACAATTACCCTCTAGTGCCCCTTGGGTCCCCTGTCCCCAGGAACCTAGTCAGCCAAGACTCACATCTCCAGGTGAGTGGCAACCACCAGAAGTGGCTGTCTCATGGATGCTGCCATTTGTTTTCCTGTTCCTCTTGGCTCCTGCTGGAACACCAGGGCTGTTTCTCTGCCAATATTCTTTTAACTGTCAGAAACAAGAGCAGTAATACTCATGAGAACTATCAGCCCCTGCAGCCACATCCTCCTTTACAGTTTTTATAAAATACTCTTATACACCATCTGATTTAATGACACCAACAACTGTACAAGGTGTTGTCACAATCATTTAGTGACTCAAAGAGATTGATATCATGGCTAGAAAAAAAAAGAAGAAAAGAAAAAGGCGACAGACGAACTTTGAAACTCAGTCTTCTGACTCCAAACTCTGGGGTATTACCAAGAATCAGCAGCTGCCAGGGACCAAAACCAGAGGCAGAGGTAGAAAAGTAAACATTAAGTAGGCAGGAACTGTATGCCATGTGG
Source organism: Homo sapiens (assembly GCF_000001405.40). Classification (NCBI taxonomy): domain Eukaryota; kingdom Metazoa; phylum Chordata; class Mammalia; order Primates; family Hominidae; genus Homo; species Homo sapiens. Next base: position 20,563,881 of record NC_000015.10, on the reverse strand, counting down.
TTTAGAGTCATACATCCTCACACGTCTGTTAGTGTGAAGAAGTGCACCAGTACCTCTCAAACTCTTATATCAATGTATCCTCATGGCAGAAGGCAGCCTTTCTGTTAAATCTGGGAATTTATCAGAAAGAGGACAACCCAAGCCTCATTTCAGAGAGAGGTCTGGTATACTCTTAGAAACCTATGTGACTGTCATCCCTAAGTACATTAATGTTTTTTCTCTTGATCTCAAGAGAATCAATGGAAACTGATGCTTCAGAAAGATGTCCCATATGTATCCTGTGGCACTCAAAGTACCCCAGGTTTACATAATATGAGGAAGATTCAAGCTGTCAAGTTCAGTTTCCCAAGATCTATTCCACAGAAGATGAGCAAATCTCACTTCACAGACCACTGACTGAAGGGCAGTCTGGTCCCAGAACCATGGAGAATTAGAATGTGAGGTGGAGAACTCACAAAAAATTTGTTAAAATCTCTCTGGAAAGTAGAAGCCTGGGAGAAAACCAAACCAAGTCAAACCCATTCTCCAGTTGCCATCCAGAGGTACTGTCAATGTTTTGAGCTCACAGGGGAAGTGTAGGCTTTTCCCGCTGTCAGTGTTTATGTTAAGGGAGTGAGGCAGCCTGAAACCTCTTGCTCCTAGGTCCCAATCTCCATTCCCCTTCCAGCTGGAAATTTGTGCTGTGACAAGAGGAACCAGAAATGGGGTGGCAATGCTTAGGGGACTGGGTCATAAGATCAAAGGCCAGTCTTGCAGTAATGACAGTTACTGGATGGACCGTGACATCACTACATTCCACTCTTCCTGGTGAGGGGGAGGGACCACATCAGCATGATGTCCGAGTCATCGCTCCATGATAGGGGAGGGAAAAACAGAGCTGGGACCCAGGTCCTTGGAGACACCAGTGCACACAGCCTAGGGAGGTCCACCTTGAGGCAGCAGGAGGGAAGGGAAGAGTCAGCAGCAGGGAGCCCCAGGATTCACCAGCCTAAAGTCACCCAGGGATGACTGGTGAGGGTGGGGTCTGGGGCTGTGGGACCCAGGTCCTTGGAGATGTGAGCCCAAAAAGCCCTGGGAGGTCAAGCTTGGGGTGGCAGGAGATGAGGGCCCAGTAAAGGAGCGGGGATCCCCAGGATTCACCTGCCCAAAGTCACCCTGGGGTGATTGGTGAGGGCAGAGACTGGGCTGCTTGCTGAAGGGGTGGGGCTGACTGGCAAAACTTTGGTGGGGGTAGCCCAGAGGCACCGGTGTGGGGGTCCCAGTCCGGTGAACCTCGGGAGTGGTATGGACTCTGGCAGCAGTCTTGTCGTTGGAGAGGATCTATGGCTGGGTTGGGGGTCCGTGACCTGGTGTGTTTTTACCTTTCTCTTGGCTGCTGCCAATTTACTTTGTCGAGTTTCTTCTGCCATCGCAGGGTGGGGAGGGAGGCGGGCTTGGGGCCACATCAGCAAAATCCCACCAAGCACTGATCAACACCTCCAGTCACCTACCAGGTAGCTGTGCGACTGAGCCAGAGGAGGCGTAACCAGGGATGCAGTAGAAGGCAGAATAGGGGCGTGGCCTTAATGCTCCAAGACCATTGGTTAATGAGAAAGATGAAAGGGAAAGGGGGCGTGGCCAGGCATCATGTGTCCAGAGGGACCTTTGGCTCACGAGGAAAGCTGCCCATGCAACCACTGTCCCCACCCACTCTAAGAGAGGGGAGAGGCCGCCAACTCTGGGAGAGGGGCAGGGCCGGCTTTTGCTTTAAAAGCTTTTAAAAAATATATATGTGTATACTTTATATATATGTGTGTCTGTGTGTGTGTACCTGTGTGTTCCTCCAGAGCTGTCTTCATGATCCAGCTTCTATGCAAGGTCTATGATTTTGGCCTATATTTTTCATAGAGTACAAAAATTACCAGTATTACCTTAACCGAGATACAGATCCTATGAAAATGGAAAATCCATAGCATGCTTGATGATTACTGAAGCAGACTATATTATCCAACATTCCAATAAGATAAAATAATCACAATGACTTCTCTTTTTTGGAAAAATGTTTCTCTTATTCTCCTACGTTATTGTGAAGACTTTTTTTCTTAAACAAGAAACGTGTGTAATATTTGTAAAAACACAAAGCTTTTGGGCCGGGTGCAGTGGCTTATGCGTATAATTCCAGCACTTTAGGAGCCTGAGGCTGGTGGATCATGAGGTCAGGAGATTGAGACCATCCTGACTAAAAAGGTGAAACCACATCTCTACTAAAAATACAAAAAATTAGCCAGGCGTGGTGGTGGGTGCCTGTAGTCCCAGCTACTTGGGAAGCTGAGGCAGGAGAATGGCGTGAACCCAGGAGGTGGAGCTTGCAGTGAGCTCAGATCGTGCCACTGCACTCGAGCCTGGGCTACAGAGCGAGACTCCTTCTCAAAATAAATAAATAAATAAATAAATAAAACTTCTATTTCTTTCACTTTCTAATATAATTTTAATATCTCCTCCTGGGATTTCACTAAGACACATTTTGGACCTCATTCTGATCTTCCTCTCCCCTCCAAGCCCACCAACTTCTGCCCTATCATCTATCCTCATGTCTCTCTGTGTGACATGCTGACTTACTTTTTGGAGAGAATCGTCTAAACAATTAATTCTTTCTTCTCGTGTCTAATCCATCCACTAGTTTCTTATTTCAACAATTACATTTTTATTTCCTTATTTCATTTTATTCTGAGACTGAGTCTCATTCTGTCACACAGGCTGAATTGCAGTGGTACGAACCTGCAGACTCGGCCTCCTGGGCTCAAGTGATCCTCCCACCTCAGCCTCTTGAGTAGCTGGGACTATAGGCAGGTGCCCCATACCCAGTTAATACCATACCCACACAGCAGAGACATAAAAGATTTCCATCCTCAAAGAAGGTTCCATTGAACAGCACTGCTCTAATTCAATAAAAAATACCACTGAGCACAACATAGTAATAGAAAAGATTGAAGAGGCAGTGCTGATACTTAAAAACCTGGTATTTTCAGCCAGGCATGGTGGCTCATGCCTGTAATCCTGGCACTTTGGGAGGCTGAGGTGGGAAGATCGCTTAAGCCCAGGAGTTCTAGACCAGCCTGGGCAACATGGTGAAACCCTGTCTCTACAAAAAATACAAAAAATTAGCTGGGCATGGTGGCATGTGCCTGTAGTCCCAGCTACTTGGGAGGCTGAGGTGGGAGATCACCCGAGCCTGGGAGGTCAAGGCTGCAATGAGGTGAGATGGCACCACCACACTCCAGCCTGGGTGACAGAGTGAGACCCTGTCTCAAAAACAAAAAACAAAAAACAAAACAAAAACACCTGATATTTATTTTTAAGTACACTATTTTCAAACATTCAGAAGTTATTTCATCCTACCTTCATGGTTTCCATTCTATGCCTGGTTTAGAATTGGGATCTGATAAAATAAACGTGTTCAACAGAACCACTTCTCATGGCTGTATAACAGATGATCAATATGTATTTGCTGAGGAAATCATACAATTTTCTTAAATTTTTTTAACAAAAATTGTGGTTTCAAGGGACCAAACTTGAATACTACACCTTCATGTTCTAAGAATCAGGGGACTTATATAAAACCTCAGTTGCCTGATAAGGACTACATCAAAGTGAAAAGCCATGGGAAAGAACTAGAAAGTATACTTTTGACCCTAGTTCTGTAGTTTCCTTATGCCACAGGTAATACACATCGCAATTCCTGCCAAATTCTTTCCCTCACCTCTGTTTATGGTCTCGATTCCATAAATAGGAGAAGGGCATGAATTTGCTTTAGTTAGATAGACAGATAGATGGATAGATAGATAGATGGATGGATGGATGGATGGATAGATAGATAGACAGAGATAAAGATAGAGACAAAGATGGAGACAGAGATGGACATAGAGACAGATTTGCAGAAGATAAGTTCTAGGTGAACTAGTGTCAACATTAAAGTGGTATGCCTACATCTAACTATTCTGGAGAGAAAAACATACCTCAAAGAAATTGACTTAAATATATACAGAGAAAAAGTTTAAGCTGAAAGCTACTGCCTTTTTATATGAGACACTTTAGGAAATTACTTGGGGGGCAAGAGAGAAAATGGGTGGACATAGCTCAGAGGTTACACAGTAGCAGATATGTAGGATGAACAAGCCTAGAAATATAATGTACAACGCGAGAAATATAGGTAATAAAATTGTACTGTATTGGGATTCACGCTAAATGAGATTTTAAGCTCCTCTTGCCACCAAACAAAAAGAAAACGGGTAACTATCTGAGTTGAAGGATACGTTAATTTGCTTCACTGTAGTAATTTTTTTAACCATCTATATGCATCCCACAAAATCATGTTGTATACCTTAAATACACAGAATACAATTTATTTAACATAAAAAACTACTCCAATATTTTCTGCATTTTTAATATGCTCACCCAAAGAAAGCATTAATTTGCATCTTTGATGTTAAACAGATAGCCTAATCAAGTCACTATCAAGATCAAGACTAAAAGTTACAGCTTTTTTCTTTTGATGCCTTTCAGATATATCTATTTATATATAAAAATATATATACACACACACATACATACACACACACATATATATGTAGTTATGTGTGTGTGTATATATAGTTACAGTTTTGGCCAGGTGCAATGGCTGACACCTGTAATCTCAGCCCTTTGGGAGACCAAGGCTGAAGGCTTGCTTGAGGCCAGGAGTTTGAGACCAGCCTGGGCAACGAAGCAAGACCCTATCTCTACAATTTTTTTTTTTAACAAAATTAGCCAGGGATGATGGCATGCACTTGTAGTCCCAGATACTTGGGAGGCTGAGGCGGAGGATCCCTTGAGCCCAGGAGTTCAAAGCTGCAATGGGCTGTTACTGTGCCACTGGATCCCAGTCTGAGCAACAGAGCAAGACTTTGTCTCAAAAACAAAATTTATAATTAAAGATAAATAGTTATAGTTTTATGAACCTTGACTGCAACTGAGGGAAAATCCCGTAATTGGCAAAATGAATTCTGCCTGCTTGCAAAACTTCTGACTAATACGGAATGAATAATAGGAAGCCCATATTAGAGGATCCACATCAGTTAAAAAGTTTCCAAATAAGAGTGACTCTGAGTTCTGCAGAGTGAAAAGATTGGGTTCAAACCAAACACTTGCAAGATCTTGAGTAAGATACTTAATCCCTCTGTGACTCACTGTTCTCAAATGTAAGTGAAGATAATTTGTAACTCAAAAAAAATGAAAAAGTTTTCTCTAAGATTGCAAATCCTAAGGATAATTTCATTTTAATATCAGTTATTTAGTCTGGATACACCATAATGCAGACTAATTTTCCCTCTGCTTAAAGACCACACAAAAACATTACCAATAAAATTTACTTGTGTATCAACTTTTACTCCTGAGACTTCATCGTTTGTTTGGTTAAAAAAAAAAAAAAAAAAAAAGCGCACTAGACCGGGCACAGTGGCCCATGTCTGTGATCTCACTTGCGGAGGCCAAGGCAGGTGGATGAGTTTGAGAACAACCTGGGCAACATGGAAAAACCCCGTCTCTACAAAAAAAATATATAAAAATTAGTCAGGTGTGGTGGCACATAACTGTGGTCCCAGCTACTCCAGAGAGTGAGGCGGGAGGATTGCTTGAGCCCACGCAGAGGTTGCAGTGAACCAAGATGGCACCACTGCACTCCAGCCTGGGTGACAGAGCAAGACCCTGTCTCAAAAAAAAAAAAAATCACTATAAAATTGAAATTCACAACAAAATGTGCATACTTAACCTTCTTTTTATTTATTTATTTATTTATTTTTAATATTTTGAGACAACATCTTGCTATGTTGCCTAGGCTGGTCTTGAACTCCTGGGTTCAAACCATCCTCCAGTCTTGACTTCCCAAAGTACTGGGACTACAGGTGTGAGCCACCAGCCCCGCCAGCCCTGTTACACTATTCTTGGTCCCTCAAGTGACTGTATGAATTTTAGGATCAGCCTCTCGAGTTCCACAAAAAAATTCTATTGGGATTTGTGTAGGAATTTCTTGAATTTATAGATTAATTTGTTGAGAAGTAGTATGTTTATAGCATTGAGTCCTACGATTCATAATATATATGGCATATATTTCAGTTTAGTCAGTTCTTCCTTTAAGTCCCTGGGTAATTTTTATATTTGTCTTAGTCCCTTCATAGTGCCATAACAAAACACCTGAGACTGGGTAATTTACACAGAGCAGAAGTTTATTTTCTCAGTTCTGGAGGTTGGGAAGAACAAGATCAAGACTCCAGCAGACACAGTGTCTAGTGAGGGCCTGGTCTCTGCTTCCAAGATGGTACGTTGAATGCTGCTTCCTCTGGAGCAGGCAAATGCTATGTTCTCATGAGGCAGAAGGGACAGATTTACCACCACCCACAAGCCCTTTTATAAGGAAGGCACTAATCTCATGCATGAGGGCTCACCCTTATGTCTTAATCACTTCTTAAAGGCCCCACTTCTTAGTACTATCATCTTGGGAATTAAGTTTTAATACATGAATTTTGGGAGACACATTCAGGCTATGGCAATACTCTTCATGAAAGGCCTGTGTATACTTTGCTAGATATATTCTCAGGGTTTTGTTGTTATTGTGAATAGAATCTCTTTTTTTTTTTTGCCACGGAGTCTGGCTCCTTTGCCCAGGCTGGAGTGCAGTGGCGCGATCTCGGCTCACTGCAAGCTCTGCCCCTCCAGGTTTAAGCAGCCTGTTGCCCAGGCTGGAATGCAGTAGCATAGTCATAGTTCAATACAGCCTCAAACTCCTGGGCCCAAATGATTCTCTAAGCTAATATTTTTAATTTTTTAGAGATGGAGTTTCATTCAAGGATCACTAAAGGCCAGTGATCCTCCCGCCTCAGCTTCTGAAATTGCTGGGATTACAGGTGTGATTGAGCCATGGAGCCTGGCCAGACATGGGCTATTGATTCTCGCTGTTACTCTTTTCCCTTTCCTTCTAATCCTTGTATTGGGAAGCAAACAGTATGGAAATTTTATTTCTTCATTTTATTGATACGTAGATCTCTGCTTAGAAGACAATTTTAGTTTTAAATTATAAATGTTTCGTTCATTATTCATAGAAAACTAGATTTGCCATGGGATATTTATAAGTGTTGCACGAATGAAGGGTTTTCTAGTCAAATAATTTGAAACACATTACGTTAAACAAACTTGGACAGTTTTGTTTCCGGTCATTTTTAGAGTTCTAAATTATGATTCTACTCAAGAGGATATTGTATGCGGTATTTTCAAACCAACTCATCCTGCGTCAGGTTGTGGTTACGCTTTGGGAGAGGAAGCTATAATCTTATACTGAGACTGTAATGAATGTATTAAGGTAATTTTCGTAGCTTTCTCTTTTTGGAGTTACCTGAGAAATTATGACACCCTTTTCCAAACAGGCCAACCTGCTTTGCAAACACGATTTCCATAATTTTAACAATGGTGAGGCCAGGCACGGTGGCTCATACCTGTAATTCCTTCCAGCACTTTGGGAAGCCTAGGCAGGAGGATCACTTAAGCCAGGAGTTCAATACCAGCCTGGGCAACATGGCAAAAACTCATCTCTACAAAAAATACACATATTAGCCAGGCGTGGTGGCACACACCTATAGTCTCAGCTACTCAGAGGTTGAGGTGGGAAAATTGCTTCAGCTCAGGAGCTCGAGGCTGCAGTGAACGGTGATCACGCCACTGCACTCCAGCCTGGGTGACAGAGCAAGACCCTGTCTCAAAAACAAACAAAACAAAACACAAACCAAGGGTGAGAGAGATGTTAGATGTTTTTGTCCTTGTTACAGATGTAAATGCTCAGTTGGAAAGAGGGAAGTATTTAGAGTGAAAAAGTTTCGGTGGAACACACACAAAAATAGGAAGATCAGGTATAACTGTTCCAAAAAAAAGAGTATGGCAGTATAGAAGAAAAGGTCTCCATGAAAATGCAGAAGAACAATTTCACAGCTGGTGCTGGCATTTCAGAGACCTTGAGCTGGGAATCAAAAGATGGGAATTTCAGTCTCGGATGTGCCACTCCTTAGAGGTTTAATATCTACTAAACCCGGCGGGCTCCACTTGGTGGTGTTTGCTATTTAAAAAAACAAAAACATGTGGCAATGATCTTCCACGTGATTCTGACTTGAGCCCCACGCGAGTCTGCAGACTTACCCTTCCACTGCTTTGCCCTTCAAGTTTGTGCCCATTAGCAAAGAGAAATTTTCTCTTTGGGATCACTGCTGTGTTGATCTCAGGAATATTTGGCGTTGAATTTAACATATTTTTCATATGTGTGTGCAATAGGGAGGCTGAGAAAGTTGTCTTTTTTTTAAGGTGTTCATTTTTGGGGTACAGGTAGCAGCCTGCTCTACAATCCACACAGAAGCTGGAAATAGCCTCTAGAGAATTTCCACGTTTAGAGAAGATAAATTTATACATTTGTATCTAATCAACATTTTTTAGCTAACATAGTAGTCTAATTATACTATGTATAATTATACTATGTATAATTATGGGTACTGAAATGACACCTGGCATATGCTGTATGCTGTGTTATATATACATATATATTTACACATATACATATATATTACACATATACATATATATTTACACATATATATTTACACATATACATATATATTTACACATATATATTTACACATATACATATATTTACATATTTTACATTTACATTTTACATTTATTTTACATTTTACATTTATTTTACATTTTACATTTACATTTGACATTCTACATTTATTTTACATTTACATATTTTACATTTACAAATATTTACATATTTTACATTTATATATACATATATTTACATACATATATTTACGTACATATTTTTACATACATATTTACATGTGTATATATTTACATACATTCACATACATATTTACATATATATTTACATACATATTTACATAATATTTACATACACATATTACATACATATATGTACACATATACATATATTTACACATATACATATACTATGTATAATTATGGGTACTGAAATGACACCTGGCATATGCTGTATTTAAAAATGTGAGGTTCAGTGAGAACACATGGACACAGGAAGGGAAACAACACATACTGGGACCTGTCAGGGCGGGTGGGGGAGGAGCATCAGGAAAAATAGCTAATGCGTGCTGGGCTTAACACTGAGGTGATGAGTTGATAGGTGGACCAAACCACCATGGCACACGTTTCCCTACGTAACACTCCTGCACATGTACCCTAGAACTTAAAACAAAATTTTAAAAATAATAAAAAATAAAAATGTGAAATTCAGCACATAAACTGTTGGTTTTATTATTCATATTTTCCTAATTCAGAAATTATTTTCTGAACTATGGTTTATTAGATAATTTTGACGTAACAATTTTTTAAGAGGAAATTTAAGTTTTACTTTTTAATTGGGGCTCTTGGTTCTTTTTAAGAAAGACAGAGATAAATCATTTATACATTTAATTAGAAGAGACTGGGCTTGAATTTTTAAAAAGTACTAGAAATCGTAGCCACTATATATGTTATCTTTGAAATGTTTTAGACACTAATTACCTAAACAAGGAGCAAATAAGTTAAACCTCTTGGATTTTAATAAGAACTAAAATGTACAGTTGTATTTTCTGGTTTTTTAAATTGTTACAGTCTAAATTTATTCTTCCTAATGAAGAAATGTATGTGCCGTCAATATCAGGTTCTTTGTGGGTACTCACAGTTCCCTTTGCCTTTTACGCAGTGAATGTGGGCAACATGCGTGGAACAGAAATGATGTCGTTTTCTTTCTTTTGAATATCACTATGAATCTAATAATTCAAAGATTCCTAACTTTCTGAATGCCATTATTAATTGGATTCACAATGACTTACCAGGTACAGAGTTGTCCCGTGTGTCTTGGGGTGAACTACTGAGAGTGGTATGAGGGAAGCGATTCTCAGCTAGCGCTGAGTGGGGCCACTTCCAAAGAGGTGATGGGGTAAGAAGCACACACAATGTGGCATTTTCACTGCAAAGGGAGGTTTGTGCTGCCTCTCCTCCTGTGGCAGGTCTGCTCGCAGGGGAGGCTCCAAAGTTTGGCTTTGCTGGGTTTGGCATGTGAGAACTGATGAAATATCTGTATGTAGTATCTTTCAAGGATTTATATCGGTTGGATTTCTGTGTAAATTTGCATATCCCTTTGACTGCTTTACCCCATAGAAGCTTTGTATGCTTAATAAAATCTGTAACTTTTCTGTCACTTTCTCATTTAGCATCTGCCTTTCTGGCTTTTTACTTTATCTTTTTATTATTGTTTTTAGTTTAATGAGATTATGGTTAGAGAGAAAGATGGGTGCATGATTCCGCTTCTTTGGAATTTGTTGAGATTTTCCTTATGGCTCAGTACATATGTACTTGGGGGGGTGAATGCTGTCACTTTGGAGAGATATGTTTTTTCTGTACATTAGGTCAAGCTTGTTAATTTTCTAGAGAGATGTAAATCTTCTATGTCTATGCTGATTGTTTTTTGTCTCTTTTATCAGATACTGAGATATGTATTTAAATTGCCCTCTGAGGGTTGCAATTTTGTCATATTTTGCTTTCATGTATTTTGAGTGCTAGTTATTAGATACATTAACATTTTAGATTACCTTCTCCCTTGGTTTATTAGAATTTTTATCATTATATTGTGGCCTTAAAAAATCTCCCATATTGCTTTTTGCCCAAAGCCTATTTTATCTGATAATAATATAGCTTCCAACCCTTCTTTGGGTTAGGTACATATGACAGGTGTATCTTTTTTCAATCTCTCTCAGTCTTTCTGTGACTTTATGTTTTAGATGTCTTTTCATACTGTTTATTTTCTGTTTTTGTGTTTTTTTGTGTGTGTTTTTTTTTTTGATACGGAGTCTTGCTCTGTTGCCCAGGCTGGAGTGTAATGGTGTGATCTCGGCACTGCAACCTCTGCCTCCTGGATTCAAGCGATTCTCCTGCCTCAGCCTCCTGAGTAACTGGGATTACAGATGTTCACCACCACGCCGGCTAATTTTTGTATTAGCAGAGATGGGGTTTCACCATGTTGGTCAGGCTGCTCTCGAACTCCTGACCTTGTGATCCCTCCGCCTGCCTCATCCTCCCAAAGTGCTGGGATTACAGGCATGAGCCACCACGCGTGCCCTAATTCTGTTTTATAGTCATTTTCTCTTAATTATTCAGTCTATTTACATTTATTGTGATTGTTGGCATAGTTTCTTTTATAACTTTCATCGTATTTTGTGCTATTTGTTCCATCTGTTTTTATTTCTTCATGTCTTTTTTGTTTCGTTTTTGCTAATTCCTTTTATATTCATGGTTATTCTGCTCTTGAAATGTATGCTATGTGAATATATTTGTGAGTTGACAATACTTTATTAGCAATTAAATATACTATTTCTCTTTTTTTTAGAACTTGCTCAAATGTTACATAACCTCAATATCCTTAGTATCTAAATTAAACTGACTTTCTGAACAATCATCATTTTAAGGCAGTTACCACGATCTACTAAAAAATAAAAAAAAATTAGCCGGGTGTGGTGGTGGGCGCCTGTAATCCCAGCTACTCAGGAGGCTGAGGCAGGAGAATCCCTTGACCCTGGGAGGCAGAGGCTGCAGTGAGCCGAGATAGCGCCACTGCACTCCAGCCTGGGCGACAGAGAGACTCCGTCTCAAAAAAAAAAAACAATAATAATAATAAAGGAATTTAAAAAAAGACTGGGTTTAACCATGTTGCCCAGGCCGGTCTGGAACTCCTAGGCTCAAGCAATCCCCCACGCTTGGCCAGTCCAAAGTCCTGGAATCAAAAGCGTGAACCACCACGCCAGGCCGATCACGCCTGTCATCCCAGCACTTGGGGAGGCGGAGGTGGGTGGATCACCGGAGGTCAGGAATTTGAGACCAGCCTGGCCAACATGATGAAAACCCGTCTCTACTAAAAATACAAAAAAAAAAAATTAGCCGGGTGTGGCGGCAGGCGCCTGTAATCCCAGCTACTCAGGAGGCTGAGGCAGGAGAACCACCAAAACCCGGGATGCAGAATTTGCCGCGAGCGGAGACCCAGCCACTGCACTCCAGCCTGGGCAACAAGAGGGAAACTCCGCCTCAAAAAAAAAAAATAATAATAATAAGAGACAGATTTTCACCATGTTGCCCAGGCAGGTCTGGAACTCTTAGGCTCAAGCAATTCCCCACGCTCGGTTGTCCAAAGTCCTGGGATCAAAAGCGTGAGCCACCACGCCAGGCCGATCTATTTCTTTCTGATTAATAAATTGGGCCGGGAGCGGTGGCTCACGCCTGCAGTCCCAGCACCCCGGGAGGCCGTGGCGGGCGGATCACCTGAGATCGGGAGTTTGAGACCAGCCTGACCAACATGGAGAGACCTGTCTCTACCAGAAAAAAAAAAAAAAAAAAAAAGAGCTGGGCAGGGTGGCTCCCGCCTGCAATCCCAGTCACTCGGAGGCTGAGGCAGGAGAACCACCCAAACCCAGAGGCAGAGGCCGCGGGGAGCCGACACCGCACCACTGCACTCCAGCCCTGCAACAAGAGGGAAACTACGCCTCAAAAAAAAAAAAGAGAGAGAGAGAGAGACCGGTTTTCACCATGTTGCCCAGGCTGGTCTAGAACTCCTAGGATCAAGGGATCCGCCACGCTCGGCCCGTCCAAACTCCTGGGATCAAAAGCGTGAGCCACCACGCCAGGCCGATCCTTCCTGTCATCCCAGCACTTTGGGAGGCCGAGGTGGGTTTACCTGAGGTCCGGAGTTCGAGACCAGCCTGGCCAACATGATGAAAACCCATCTCTACTAAAAATACAAAAAAAAAAAAAAAAAAAAAATTAGATGGGTGTGCTAGCGGGTGCCTGTAATCTCAGCTACTCAGGCGGCTGAGGCAGGAGAATCGCTTGAACCTGGGAGGCAGAGGTTGCAGTGAGCCGAGACAGCGCACCACTGCACTCCAGCCTGGGTGACAAAGTGAGACTCCGTCTCAAAAGTATATATATATAAAAATAAAAAATGAAATAAAAATAAATTGGGTGTGTGCGCTGGCTCACGCCTGCAATTCCAGCATCCCCGGAGGCCGAGGTGGGCGGATAACCTGAGGTCTGGAGTTTGAGATCAGCTTGCCCAGCATGGAGAAACCCCGTCTCTACCAAAAACAAATAAAAAAAAATTAGCAGAGCAATGTTGGTCAGGCCTGCAATCCCAGCCACTCCGGAGACTGAGGCAGGAGAACTACTAAAACCCTGGAGGCAGAAGTCGCTGCGAGCGGAGACCCAGCCACTGCACTCCACCCTGGGCAACAAGAGCGAAACTCCGCCTCAAAAAAAAAAGAGAGAGAGAGAGAGAGACCGGGTTTCACCATGTTGCCCAGGCAGGTCTGGAACTCCTAGGCTCAAGGGATACCCCGCGCTGGGCCATCCGAAGTACTGGGATCACAAGCGTGAGCCACCACACCAGGACGATCTATTCCTTTCTGATTAATAAGTTGGGCCGGGAGCGGTGGCTCAAGCCTGCAATCCTAGCACCTCGGGAGGCCTAGGCAGGTGGATCACCTGAGGTCGGGAGTTTGAGACCAGCCTGACCAACAGGGAGAAACCCCATCTGTACCAAAATAAAAATAAAAAAAAAATACAAAATTAGCCGGGCTTGGTGGCTTATGCCTGCAATCCCAGCCACTCTGGAGGCTGATGCAGGACAACGACCGAAACCCGGGAGGCGGAAGTCGCGGCAAGCAGAGACCCAGCCACTGCATTCCAGCCTGGGCAACAAGAGCGAAACTCCGTCTCAAAACAAGACAAAACAAAAAGACCAGGTTTCACCATGTTGCCCAGGCCTGTCTGGAACTCCAAGGCACAAGCGATCCACCCTACTTGGCCGTCCAAAGTCCTGGGATCACAAGAGTGAGCCACCACGCCAGGCAGATCAAAGCGTTGAGCTGAATAAAGAGTTATCTTTTAGCATTTTGTGGAGCCCGGGTAGATCTGTGCAGGGGGAAGCATATTACAGAAGCGAGAAACAGAGAGTTATTTAATTGAAGCACGCATTATGTTTTTTTTTTTTTTTACGTTTTTAGGAAAAATATGTTTTGTGACTTGCATTTGTTTGTTTAGTGACCTTGCAGTTGCACAGTTAGGGAATTAGGGTTTTGATAATGCCTGGGAAGGGAGCGATAAGGCTCACTAGCCATAGGAAAACAGGTAGTTTTTTTAAAGGACTAAGGCTCTTTCTCATTCTCAGGGGGAATTGGGTTTTTTTTACATACAGCTGAGTTTTTGCTTACACATTTTTTCATTTCTTTTAATTCCTGTTCCAATGCCAGCATCCTTGCGGTGCGGTTTCCCAGCGGCTCTCTTGCCTTGCAGCTTGTGTCGGGAGTTGCAGACAGCCATGGCCCATGGGCCTGGCGCTGACGGACCCTGGAGCGGTGTCTGAGGGAGGTGGGCAAAGCCACTGGCTGGCCCGAGTGCATCCTCACGTAAGTGCACAGATCCCGGGCTCGGGTGCGACTGCGGTCGCACGTGGACACGGGTTGCAGACCCCTGGCAAATTGTGGAGCTGGGGGAAGGTAAGGGGAAATGTAAATCACTTTTCCCCACATTTCAGAGGACCTAGGCTATCAAAATTTTAAAAATTGTTAAAACTTTTACAGTATGGATCTCTCAGTTGAATGTTATTGAAATCAACCTAACCTCAGTTATTCACGCCTATAAGCTCCCCTTGAGGCTTATTACGGCCCCCATCCCCCTACACACAACTGTGTTGGTTTCTCCTTCCGCCTGTGCTCCTAAAGCACTCAGTGTTTACCTGCCATCATACTTTATTGAAAGCACAAACTTGTCACTTGTCTGTCTACCCCACTAAGCTTCTTGAGAATTAGAACTTTCATGTCTCTTCCCAACACAAACGTTTTATGTGTATTTTGTTGAAGAACTTCAAATATGACCTATAAAATTATGACTCATTTATGTTTCAAACTCCAACCTCTCCCTTGAGTTCCTTGCTCACAAGCAACTCCAGACTGAGCTTAGTTGGAATTCAGTAGCGCACAACTGGGATATCCGCACCGTACGGCTTTTAACAATTTTTTAAATTTTGGTCCTCTCAGCATCACAAATTCACTGTGTCCAAAATACAGTAGAATGTTGTTTCTACCCACCTACACTCTGCCATCCGCTGAAGTCCTTTCCCCTTGCTCCACCACTCAAGCCTTGCCTATCGCAGTAAATGGCAGTTCTGTCTCTCCAGTTGCTCGCACATAAAACTAGGCTGCTATTTTGATGTCTTCACTTTTCTCTATTCTGTATCTAATTCCTTAGCAATCCTGTCAGTTCTACCTCCAAACTGTACTCAGCATATTCACTGCTCTAACTCCAGCTTAAATCACCATCATCCTTTGCCTGGAATGCTGCATCAACCTTCTAATCACTCTACTTTCCTCCTCCTCCTTCCTCCCTTTCTTCTTCCTTCGTATAAATCATCATTTCATCCTTCTGCTTAAAATCTTCTCACATTTTCTTATTACACTTAAAACGGCAAACTCTTACCCTTGAGCCCTGCAGAATTTGGCTCCCATCAGTCTCTCCAACTTCACCTTCTGCCTCCTTCACGCTATAGCCATGCTCACTTTTTTATTCCTCAGGCTTACCAAGCTCAACTGCATCTTAGAGAATTTGTTCTTGCTGTTTCTTCCGCCTGGAATACATGTTTCCCAATCTTTATAAGACTATACTTGTCTGTAAGTTTCATCTCAGATGTCACATCTAGGAGAGGTTTTCCTTGACCACTGTAGCCAAAGCAAATGTTGATCATTGAGTGAATAAGGGAATGAATGAATGGAGTGGTATATAATGTAGCAGAGTAGAAAATTTAAGGCTAATTCTCTATATATCTCCAAGCAAATAGATTTGTAATGCTTTTCCTGCCAACAATCTATACAGCTGATTCACAAATACTTGGTTGACAGGTTTTATATATCATTGTGGCTCATCAGCTTATATGTTGTTGGGGCCAGAATCTATACTTACACTTTATTCAAATTTGATTTTACAGAAGAGTTGAGGTTTTTATTTTTCTTTTAATTAAGAGGGCTGTGAAATTATTATCTATAATTCTAAATCTCATTTAATTCCTCCCAATAGGTTTCAAGATGGATTGGAACCAAAGTTCACTTCTTTAACAAAAGTGCTTTATGACTTTAATAAAACAGTAGAGAATGGTAGAATCCATGGCAGCCCTTTACAAAAACTTGTGATAGAAAGTTTTGATGATGAGCAGACTTTGCAACAACTGGAATTGCAAAATGAAGCAATTTTACAGTGCTTCCAGAATGCGGTTAGTGAAAGAAAGATGAAGATATCAGTCTTCTCCCAGAGAGTGAAGAACAGGAGCATGAAGAGGCTGGTTCAGAAACAGAGGCTGATGGCCAGGAGGACCTAGAAGATTTAGAGGAGGAGGAGGACGTGTCAGATATGGGTGGTGACAATCCTGAAATGGGTGAGAGAGCTAAAAACTCAAGCAAATTCAGGGCCAGGTGCGGTGGCTCACGCCTGTAATCCCAGCACTTTGGGAGGCCGAGGCAGGCGGATCACGAGGTCAGGAGATCGAGACCATCCTGGCTAACAAGGTGAAACCCCATCTCTACTAAACATACAAAAAATTAGCCAGGCGTGGTGGCAGGTGCCTGTAGTCCCAGCTACTCGGGAGGCTGAGGCAGGAGAATGCCATGAACCCGGGAGGTGGAGCTTGCAGTGAGCCTAGATCACGCCACTGCAGTCCAGCTGGGTGGCAGAGTGAGAGACTGCATCTCAAAAACAAAAACAACAATTACTTAACTTTAGGATGCTCCAATAATCAAAATTGATAGTGGCTTGTGAACAGATAGATTACTTGAATAGAATAGAGCCCAGAAATAAACCCAAATGCTTCTGGGGGAGTTTGGTACATTATAAACATGACATTTTAAATCAATGAGGAAAAGAAATCATTTGCAGCTCACCCCACCATGCACAGCAGGAATAGGAAGTCATTGGCAGAATAAAAAGATGGTAAGAACAGAACAGAATTGTAGAACAGTACATTTCTTGCTTCCCCACTTTTCAAAGTATTTTTTGCTTTTTCACAAATGTAAGTGTAATTTTATTTTCTAAATGTATACTAATTCTTTTCTTCTCTTTCTTAGATGAATGACAAAAATTACATCTTTAGAAAAAGAGTTGTTAGAAAAAAGCCTTGGCTGCATGTGGGGGAAGTGACAGCACAGAAGAGACCAGAGAAGAGCCTCCTGGAGGAGAGCCTGCACTTTGACCATGCTGTCCGGATGGGTGCAGTGCTCTTTTCTGCAAAGTGTTCACTTCTCTGCTTTTTCTGTGGTCCCATTTCATAGAAAGATTTGGGGTGATGTTTCTTTCCCTCAACTTTTATTTTGAAAACTTGCAAACACAGAAAAGTTGATAAAATCATACAGTGAACATCTGTATGCTATTCAACTGGATTCACTAGTTAATGTTTTGTCACACTTGTTTTCTGTCTTCTGCGTATGGAAGATTGTATATGTGCCCTTTTTCCCTCTGAATCATTTCAAAGTAAGTTGGCAGTATCAGAGCATTTCACTGTTAAGTACTTTCGCAGATATCTTCTAGGAACCAGGACTTCTCCTATATAATCACAATACCATTAATCCACCCCCAAAATTTAACATCAATACACTAATGATACCTACTGTATAGATTATAATCAGCTTCCTTGCAGCAATCTGTTTAGAAGGCTTGCATCCTGTCACTGTCCACTGATTAAATTTTGAACTCTAACTTGAAACCCTGGTCATCTCATTGCCTTCTTTCTTATACCCATTAAGTCAAAAGGAGCTCTCATTTTATTTCAACAGAAAAGAGAATGGAAAAGTGGGGAAGAGTCCCTAGTACCTTGGATAAAGTATGAGCACTTACTACCATATGTATTCTAGTTCTGTAGTTTTCAAACTTCAGGGAGCATCTCAAGGCTTATTAAAGCACAGATAGCTGTCCTTCCCCACTTTCTGATTCAGGAGGTGTGGGGCTGGCCCAGGAATTTGCATGTCTAACAAGTTCCCACGTGTTTCTGATGCTGAGGGTCTAAGGACTACAATGCATGAATCCGTGGTTTAGTGGATATCCACCTAATGAATACATGTTGTATTTCCTTTGGCACCCGTGATTACAGAGGAAACACCTTTCAACTGGAAGGTATCATTAAACAGAGGATAAGAGATCAGGTCAGTAAGAATTAAATTTCACTTAATTGAAATGTCACTCAAATGTTTAGAAATAATATGACAGGCCAGGCACAGTGGCTCATGCCTGTAATCCCAGCACTTTGGGAGGCCAAGGCAGACGGATCACTTGAGGTCAGGAGTTCGAGACCAGCCTGTCCAAGATGGTAAAACTTCCTCTCTACTAAAAATACAAAAATTAGCTGGGCATGGTGGTGCATGCCTATAGTCCCAGGTACTCGGGAGGCTGAGGCAGGGGAATCGCTTGATCTCGGGATATGGAGGTTGCAGTGAGCTGAGATGCGCCACCGCATTCCAGCCTGGGCAACAGAGTGAGACTCCATCTCAACATAAATAAATAAATAAATAAATAAATAAGATAAATAAGATAAATAAGATAAAAATAAAAATAAAGGGAAGATGGGGCAGCTTTGTGTATTGCATGTCCTGAAAATGGGCTGATTTCTCTCAAGAGGCAGGGATTTAAGCTCTGTAGCCTATGTGGGATACATACAGGAGAAAAAAGAAGAAAAAGAAAAGAAATGTAAATATAAATAAATGAAAATAACACTTTTCCATGATTATAAAGGAAATCACATTGTTTTTGTAATAATTTGGATGACAAAATGTAAAGAAAAATCTTTAATTTTGCCACTCAAAACATTCCGGTTTGTTGCTTTTCACACTTTTTATGCTGTAAACATTTTAAAAAGTAGAATCACAATACATGGTCTTTTGTCACTTACTATATTTTAAGCATGTTTCTATGGGAGAAATAAATATATCCTGGCATCATCACTTTCAACAGCTGGATGTATGTTAAGTGAATCATTGCCACCCCAGAGGTGGATTTCCTTCTATATATATTTTAATGGACTCGAGTGAGGATTTTTGCACTGAATTCATAGAAGTAGAATTTCTAGAAGAAAATAATATAAAACAGTTTTAGGATTTTTAAAACAAATGTTCAAATCATCCTATAGGAAAATTGGTTGAGTTTACGCTCCCACCAACAGGGACAGAGCTCCAGGTTCCGCCTTCCATTTGTCGTCTTCGCTGGTCTTTAAGCAGAAAATCTCATTGTTTTCATTACCTTTCTTTGATTTCTAGTGCTTTTGAATCTTTTTCATTTGCTCATTGGCCATTTTTATTCTTGTGGGAAGTGCTGGTTTCTCCATTGCCCATTTTCTGCTGCAAATCATTCATTTTTTTTTCTGAGTAATTTTAAAGATTTCTTTATAGGCTAAGGATACAAACCTTTAATCTGTCATTGAGTTTACAAAGATCTTCTCCCAGTAAGTAATTTGTCATTTCACTTTATTTATTTATTTTTTGCTAGCAAAGCACCAAAGTCAAATTTCACTTAATTTTTATCCTGCTGAATGAACACATTTTAAGTTAGTGATTTTAGTGGAAACAGGAGCAGGACAGAATGTAATAATTAGATCTCGCTCTGTCACCCCAACTGGAGTGCAGTGGCATGATCATAGCTACTGCAGCCTCAAACTTCTGGGCTCAAGTGATTTTCCCACCTCAGCCTCCCAAGTAGCTCTAGGACTACAGGTGTGTGCCGCCAAGCCCAGCTAATTTTTAAATTTTCTTTGTAGAGATATGAATTCGCTATGCTGCCCAGGCTGGTCTTTAACTCCTGACTTACCCCACCTTAGCTTGCCAATATGCTGGGAGTACGGGCGTGAACTACTGCTCCCAGCCAAGAGCTTACTTTGGTTTGCTAGCAAGGTTCTTGGTATCTTTTTATATTTGAGGCTTTCGTGCTAGTGCTGAAGTATTACACTCACCATCTGAGGTTTACAGGACTTTTGTTTTAATATTGAACCGAGGGAACTGTTTAGTTTTGCATCTTTGCAGGTATACAAAATGTGCCTACCAGGACTCTGCTTTATATCCATTGAAAAGCAAGAAGTAATACAGTAAAAGTTTGCCTGGCTACAGGCTTTGGAAGAATGGAGTATTCTGGTTTAATTCTATTAACTTGGAAGGATGAAGGTGGAAAAAATTCAAAACTTTAATTTCCTGTTGAATGCAATTTGAAAATATAGCCAATGAGTCCACTTTTCTTCTCTAGTAAGTTTGGACATTCAGATCTACTTGGTCTTTTATCATAGAACTCCTAGTGCGCCTGAGTCTTACGTTGTGAAAATCCTTTTCTAAAACTTTAGATGTAAGAGGATAGAAATGATATTGGATGAGATCAGGCTGGATGAGAACTGATACCTGTAGATATATTTTTTAGATGAAATCTCTGATTGCCACACGTTTTCTTATTGAACTCATAAAAATAAAACACACTGGCTGGAGGGTGGAAGTAGGAAGGAGATTTATGTCTTTTAATTGCATGTCATTGTTTCATATTGAGACAGAACATATAGTATCCCTGGCTTTGGACCTACAGAAGGAAACACATTTTTCTACCTGCTGTATGGCAGAGGTTCCTGAGCACCTGGAGGGATTATTGCAGCACGGATTGCTGGGCCCTACTGCAGAGTTTCTGATTCATTCATGTCTAGGGTGGGGCCTGAGAATTTACATTTATAAGAAGTTCCCAGGTGCTCCTGGTCCGGAGACTACATGTTTGAGAGCCACCCTTACATACTAACTGTAAATTGTAGAACTCTAGAAAAAAGCGTAGTTTGGACTGGGAGAAGAAGCACACAGGTAATGGAGCAAATCATGAAAAAGTCAACCCTTGATCCCAGGTAACAAGCAATACACAGTGACATAACACAATTCTTGGTTTTCATGATTGCAAGTCATAGCCAAGTATCGAGTGAGAAATTCAGTTTCATTTT
Source organism: Homo sapiens (assembly GCF_000001405.40). NCBI lineage: Eukaryota > Metazoa > Chordata > Mammalia > Primates > Hominidae > Homo > Homo sapiens. The sequence goes on along the minus strand of NC_000015.10, from coordinate 20,542,775 downwards.
CAGGGCTTAGAGGCCAGGTGATTCTAGAAAAATCGGATTTAGTGATTAACTCATGAGAGTAGGAGTTATTTATGTCCTTTTTCTCTCCCCCATCACTTAGCATTTAGCCTTACTTTAGAAGGGTCCTGTATTTGCTTTAACCTTGTAAAGAACTTTGAGTGCTTATTAAATGGAAAGCCTTGTGTGTGTGTGTGTGTGTGTGTGTGTGTGTGTGTCTGTGCGTGTGTGTGTGTGTGTGTCTGTGCGTGTGTGTGTGTGTGTGTGTATTTAGAGACAGAGTCACGTTCTGTAGCAGCCCAGGCTGAAGTGCAGTGGCATGATTTTGGCTCACTGCAACCTCTGCCTCACAGGTTCAAGGGATTCTCCTGCCTCAGCCTCCCAAGTAGCTAGGATTACAGGCACCTGCCACCATGCCCAGCTACTTTTGTATTTTTAGTAGAGACAGGATTTCATCATGTTGGCCAGGCTGGTCTTGAACTCCTGAATTCGGGTGATCCACCCGCCCCAGCCTCCCAAAGTGCTGGGATTACAGGCATGAGCCATCACGCCTGGCTCAAAGCTTTGTATTTTTAAAGATATTAGACATGTTTCTTGTTTGTTTGTTTTTTTTAAAAAAACTAAACGCTAATGTAGGAGAATAAGAGAAAGTTTTTCCAAAAAAGAGAAAACATTGTGATTATCTTATTGGAATGTTGGATAATAAAGTCTGCTTTATCAATCATCAAGCACACTATAAAATTTCCATTTTAATAGGACTTGTACCTCAATTGAGGTAATAAAGTTTTAAAGTTTTTAAAGTGAAAGCCAGCCCCGCCCCTCTCCTGGAGTGGGCGGGGACAGCGGTTGCATAGGCAGCTTTCCTTGTGACAACACAGGTCCTTCATGACACGCTGCTGTCTGGCCACACCTCCTTTTCCTTTCATCTTTCTCATTGACCAATGGGCTTCAAGCATGAAGGCCACACCCCTATTCTGCATTCTAGTGCAGCCCTGGTTACGCCTCCTCTGGCTCAGTCACACAGCGACGTAGAGGTGACTGGAGGTATATACTTGTCCTCACCTGGATCATGCTGATGTGGCCCCAACCCCACCTCCCTACCCATCCCCACCTCCCTACCCATCCCCACCTCCCTACCCATCCCCACCTCCCTACCCATCCCCACCTCCCTACCCATCCTATGATGTCCAAAGAAACCAGACAGAGCAAATTGGCCGAGGCCAAGGAACAGGTAAACGCACCAACACCCCAACCCAACCCGAGGCCCCCTCTGACAGCCGAACTGCTGCCAGAGTCTGTGCCACTCCTGAGGGACACCAGGCTGGGCCCCCCACCCCAGTGCCTCTGGGCTCCCCACACCAAAATCTTGTCAGCCAGCCCAACCCCCTCATAAGTCCTGCCCCTGCTCTGCCCGGCACACCAGGGTGACTTTGAGCAGGTGACTCCTGGGGCTTCCAACTCCATACTCCGCCCTTACCTCCTGCTACCCCAAACCCGACCTCCCTGGGCTCCTTGAGCTCACATCTCCAAGGACCTGGGTGCCCCAGAACCTGCCCTCACCAGTTGCCACAGGGTGACTTTGGGGATGTGACTCCTGGAGCTCCTTGCTCCTTAATTGGCCCTCACCTCCTGCCGCCCCAAGCCTGACCTCCCGGGGCTCTTTGGGGTCACGTCTCCAAGGACCTGGCTCCCAATTTTGTGACCCCCTCCCCAGTCTCAAAGCGGCAACTTGGGCATTGCACTCATGTGTCCCCCCCAACCACTCCACCGAGGAGTAGAATGTAGTGATGTCACAGTCCCGCTACAAACTGTCATTACTACCACAAGACCGGCCTTTGGTCTTAGGACCCAGTCCCCTAAGTGTTCTTGCCCACTTCTGTTTCCTCTGGTTGCAGCACAGGTTTCCAGCTGGAAGGGGAATGGGGACTGTGGGACCTAGAAGAGAGAGGTTTCAGGCTGCCTGACTTCCTTACCACAGACCTTGACAGTGTGAAAAGCCTACACCTCCCCCATGAGCTCAACACGTTGACAGTGTCTCTGGGTGGCAATGGGAGAATGGGTTTGGTTTGGTTTTCTCCCAGGCTTCTACTCTCCAGAGAGACTTTAACATTTTTTCTCAGTTCTGCACCTCAGATTTGAATTCTCCATTGTTCTGGGACCAGAGTGCCCCTCAGTCACTGGTTCTGGAGTGAGATCTGCTTATCTTCTGTGGAACAGATCTTGGGAAACTGAACTTAGCTTGAGTCTTCCTCATCTCATCTCAACCTGGGGTACTTTGAGTGCCACAGGATAAATATGGGGCATCTTTCTGAAGCATCAGTTTCCCTTGATTCTATTGAGAGGCAAAACATTAATGTACTTAGGGATGAAAGTCACATAGATTTATAAGCGTATACAAGACTTCTCTCTGAAATGAGGCTTGGGTTGTCCTCTTTCTGTTAAATTCCCAGATTTAGCAGAAAGGCTGCCTTCTGCCATGAGGAGACATTGATGTAAAGGTTTGAGAGGTACTGGTGTACTTTTTAACACTAACAGACGTGTGAGGGTGAATAACCCTAAACCACATAGTGCACAGTTCCTGCCTACTTAATATTTGCTTTTCTACCTCTGCCTCTGGTTTTGGTCCCTGGCAGCTGCTGATTTAGGGCAAAATCCCAGAGCTCAGAGTCAGAAGACTGAGTTTAAGTTCCATTACTGCCTTTTTTTTCAGCCATGGTATCAATCTCTCTCAGTCACTAAGTGATTGTGACAACATTTCCTACAGTTGGTGGCATTAAATCAGATGGTCTATAAGAGTATTTAGTATAAACTGTAAAGCAGGATGTGACTGTAGGAGCTTGTAGTTCTCATGAGTATCACTGCTCTTCCTTTCCACAGTTGACAGACCATCATCCCCAGACCAACCCTAGTGTTGGTACAGCAGCAAGCGACACCAAAAAGAAGAAAATAAATAATGGCACTAACCCTGAGACAACCACTTCTGGTGGTTGCCACTCGCCTGAGGATGTGAGTCTTGGCTGGCCGGGCTCCTGGGGACAGAGGGCCCAAGGGGTGGTGGAGGGTAATTGTTAAGATTGTGGAAGAACTGCCAGGTACTGGCTAAGAATTCTGGGTTTGAATCCTACCCCTCCATCTGCTAGGGATATGATTTAGCGCAAATTGCTTGAGCTCTTTGGGCCTCTCTTTTCACATCCGTAAAATACGAGTGGTATTGTTTTCCTTACGTTTGTGAAGTTTAAATGAGATTTGTCATTGTGTTTTTATGTTAATCCCTCGTCCAGGACCTGCTGTAAACTCTCCTTCTTGGGCTTGCGTTTCCTGAGGTAGAGTTAGAGAGTATCAGAGGTTTCTGTTAGCTCTGAGAGCCCGAGAGTTAAAGGCCCACTAGAATGGAAACCTCGGGGCCAAGGGCTCCTGTCTGCCTTTTCTGACCTCTATTCCCGCTGTGAAGAACCGTCCCTGGCCCGTATGTGCTCAACGTTTGCTGAGTGAATGCACCTTTCTAAATCACAAGCTGGCGGAAGGGTGGGCTTTTCTCGCACTCCACCTCTGAAGGTTTCTGTTAGTATCTTTTCAAGAGAATCTAGTTTCAGACTTTGAGTTCTGTGGCTGTGGGCAAAAACCAAAAAGACCCAAATCCTTCTTCTTTGGGAGTTGAGGAGAGTTGACCAGTTCATGTTCCCATTGGGTCTGAGAACTGTGCCTTTTAAATCCATTCCTGGCCCCTGCCTATCGCTTCCTGGCCTGGGGAATAGAGTCAAGGGGGCCACCCTCAGTCACCTTCCTTTGACTCTCCCCACAGAAACAATAGAACTGAGCTCAGCTGGAAGAAGTAGTGTGATTTCTTTGCTCACGACATGACCGCTGGGTTTGGGGGCACTCAGATGTAGAGGCCCCAGGCTCATCTCACCCACTCCCAGCCTGGGGAAGAAGGCTCACCCCCAAGATTCCACCCCATCCCCACAGGGTCCCTGATAAACTGGTCCCATGGGTGGGCCTGTTCTGGGGCAGTGGTGCCATTCTGGGGGCATGTCTCTTGCTGTGCCATCTCTGCCTCCACCTAGCAAGAGCTCTGTTTTCCTCTTTCTATAGGAACAGAAGGCAAGCCATCAACATCAGGAAGCCCTAAGGAGGGAGCTAGAGGTGAGTGGAGGGTGTGAAGTTCCCTCCTGCCCTCTGGAGAATGTTTCTTTGCTTCTCTTTCAGCATTTGCTTGTCTTTTCTCCCAAAGGCCCAGGTTCATACCATACGAATCCTTACATGTCAGAAAACTGAGCTTCAGATGGCACTCTACTACAGCCAGCATGCTGTCAAGCAGTTGGAAGGTGGGAATCTGGCACCCCATCATCCTTCAACCTGGCACTTTGACAGGCCTTTAGGGGGAGTCCTTTGGGCCACATCTGAATGTCTCTCATTCCAGGAGAGGCCAGGGATCTGATCAGCCGCCTGCATGATTCATGGAAGTTTGCAGGAGAGTTAGAGCAGGCTCTCTCTGCTGTCGCTACACAGAAGAAGAAGGCAGATAGGGTGAGTCCAAACACGGCCCCGTCCCTTGGGAGCCCAGCTTCGCAGATGGAGGAGTGAGCCTAAAGGTCCCTTCTGTAGGATGGAGTGTCCTGCCCAGAAGGCAGCATGGCCATTTCTTGCTGCTTTTGTGTGTGGTTGTTAGAGGCAGACTGGGGCTGAGTCGGCTGTTGTGGGTGAGTTGGGGAGCACTGTGGGGAGCGAGCACTGGACATAGAGCTCAGAGGCCAAGTGCCCGCCCTGCCCATACTTGGCTGTGGCCTTGGCCAAGTCCTAAGTGGCGGTTAGGGTACTTGTACCATAAAGGTACAGAAGAGTATCTTGAGTATGTTATTATTTGTGTGGAGAGAGGGGGCAGGTGTATATGTGTGTGTGTGTACGTATTATGGTAACATACATAAAACACGTTTGTAAGGATTCATTAAAAAACTCAGGATAGAGGCACAGTGTTGGGGGGAGATATTTCCCTTCTGGACTTTCTGAGTTTTGGACTATGCGAACGTATCATCCTTTCAAAAATTCAACAAAGGATTAATTTCCTCCTTCTTAACTGTGCCCCTACCTCCAGCGGAAGAATGGGCTTAGAGAATCAGATATACCTGGGTGTTGAAATCCCAGCTCCAAGTGATCTTAGGCAGCACTTAACCTTTAATACCGCATGTTTTTCATCTACACAATAGAGGTAATAATGGTAACCATCTCCTATGGAGGTTGTGAGGATTAAATGGGATTGTTAGCATAGTGCCTGGTGAAGCACTCAAGAAAGGTTCGAACAGTGGTAGTACTAACAGTAATAGCAATAACAATATTACCTGATCGCTCTGGGCCCCTGTTAGCCAGCTCTAAATTCAATCTCTTTCCCTGTCCCTTCCACATTCACTGAGTTCTTTGAAAAACAAATGAGGGCCAGGTGCTCTCGCTCACGCCTGTAATGCCAGCACTTTGGGAGGCTGAGGTGGGCGGATCACCTGCGGTCAGGAGTTCAAGACTAGACTGACCAACACGAAGAAACCCCGTCTCTACTAAAAATACAAAATTAGCCCGGTGTGGTGGCACATGCCTGTAATCCCAACTACTCGGGAAGCTGAGGCAGGAGAATTGCTTGAACCCAGGAGGTGTAGGTTGTGGTGAGCTGAGATTGTGCCATTGCACTCCAGTGAGGGCAACAAGAATGAAACTCTGCCAAAAAAAAAAAAAAAAAAGAAAGAAAGAAAGAAAGAAAAACAAATGAGACCATGGGCTTGGAAATGCCTTGAGAACATGTCAGGTGTGATTGAGAGTGAGGAAGTGTTACTGTGGAGTAGTCACTGTAGCAGTTGTTCCTGGTCGTCCAGCTACTGCTGTGCCTGCTCTATCCTGACTTAACCTTTCTCTATTTGCAGTACATTGAGGAGTTAACAAAGGAGAGGGACGCCCTGAGTCTGGAACTGTACAGGAACACGTAGGATGGGGGAAGGTGGAATGGGAGGTCTGGGGGCCCTTAGCATGGGTGGTGTGCTGGGAGGTGGGGGGTCCAGGTGAGTGTGGGGAGAGGCTCATACATGTTTTCATGTGTGCACACGGAAGCTCTAGTGCTGGCTGTGCCACTGACTCATGGGGTAGCCTCAGGCAACTCATGTCTTCTCTCTGGCCTGCCACCTGGGACTTTTAATTCCTGGGGTCCCTTCCAGCGCCACGGTTCTGTGGTTGTGGGGCGAGGGTAGGGGGTCAATCACCAAAGTGGTCTTTTATGTTCTTCATTCATTCCTTTCTCTACTGCCTCTGGCCATAGGATAACTGATGAGGAGCTGAAGGAGAAAAATGCCGAACTACAAGAAAAACTTCAACTTGTAGAATCTGAAAAGTCTGAGATCCAGCTCAACGTAAAGGAGCTAAAAAGGAAACTGGAGAGGGCCAAGCTCCTGCTGCCACAGGTGAGCAGCTGCAGCCCCGGGGGTTGTGGGAGACCCATCCAGCTGGGACCATGGTCTAGGGATCATGCAGGGTATGGGGAGGCTCCAGCCAAGAGCTGGAAAATTTGGGTCCTTGTTCTGGTCCCGCCATAGAATCCTCTAGAGTGTACTAAAAATGTACAAATTGGGGCCCTGCCTGGGGAATCAGAATCTCAAGAGTTAGGGCTTAAAAATATTTTTTTAAAGGATCATGGATGAAAACCATTATTTTATAGATTACATTTATTTATTTATTTATTTATTTATTTATTTATTTGAGAAGTAGTCTCACTCTGTCACCCAGGCCAGAGTGCAGTGGCGCAATCTCGGCTCACTGCAAGCTCCACCCCCCGGCTTCACGCCATTCTCCTGCCTCAGCCTCCCAAGTAGCTGGGACTACAGGTGCCCACCACCACACCCAGCTAATTTTTTGTATTTTTAGTAGAGACGGGGTTTCACTGTGTTAACCAGGATGGTCTCGATCTCCTGACCTCGTGATCCGCCCACCTCGGCCTCCCAAAGTGCTGGGATTACAGGCGTGAGCCACCGCACCCAGCCTATAGATTACATTTATGTGGCTAGCTCATGATTCTGCTTCCTTCTGAGGTTCAAAAAAACACTTTCACTATTCCAGCAGCAGCTGCAGGCGGAGGCTGACCACCTGGGTAAGGAGCTGCAGAGTGTGTCAGCAAAGCTCCAAGCCCAGGTGGAAGAGAACGAGTTGTGGAACCGCCTGAACCAGCAACAGGAGGAGAAGATGTGGAGGCAGGAGGAGAAGATACAGGAGTGGGAGGAGAAGATACAGGAGCAGGAGGAGAAGATACGGGAGCAGGAGGAGAAGATACGGGAGCAGGAGGAGAAGATGCGGAGGCAGGAGGAGATGATGTGGGAGAAGGAGGAGAAGATGCGGAGGCAGGAGGAGATGATGTGGGAGAAGGAGGAGAAGATGCGGAGGCAGGAGGAGATGATGTGGGAGAAGGAGGAGAAGATACGGGAGCTGGAAGAGAAGATGCACGAGCAGGAGAAGATACGGGAGCAGGAAGAGAAGAGGCAGGAGGAGGAGAAGATACGCGAGCAGGAGAAGAGGCAGGAGCAGGAGGCGAAGATGTGGAGGCAGGAGGAGAAGATACGGGAGCAGGAAGAGAAGATACGGGAGCAGGAGAAAAAGATGTGGAGGCAGGAGGAGAAGATTCATGAGCAGGAGAAGATACGGGAGGAGGAGAAGAGGCAGGAGCAGGAGGAGATGTGGAGGCAGGAGGAGAAGATAAGGGAGCAGGAGGAGATATGGAGGCAAAAGGAGAAGATGCACGAGCAGGAGGAGAAGATACGGAAGCAGGAGGAGAAGGTGTGGAGGCAGGAGGAGAAGATACGGGAGCAGGAGGAGAAGATACGGGAGCAGGAGGAGAAGATGTGGAGGCAGGAGGAGAAGATACGGGAGCAGGAGGAGATGTGGAGGGAGGAAGAGAAGATGCATGAGCAGGAGAAGATATGGGAGGAGGAGAAGAGGCAGGAGCAGGAGGATAAGATGTGGAGGCAGGAGGAGAAGATACGGGAGCAGGAGGAGAAGGTGTGGAGGCAGGAGGAGAAGATACGGGAGCAGGAGGAAAAGAGGCAGGAGCAGGAGGAGAAGATGTGGAAGCAGGAGGAGAAGATAAGGGAGCAGGAGGAGAAGATACGGGAGCAGGAGGAGAAGATACGGGAGCAGGAGGAGAAGATACGAGAGCAGGAGGAGATGACGCAGGAACAGGAAGAGAAGATGGGGGAGCAGGAGGAGAAGATGTGTGAGCAGGAAGAGAAGATGCAAGAACAGGAGGAGACGATGTGGAGGCAGGAGGAGAAGATAAGGGAGCAGGAGAAGAAGATACGGGAGCAGGAGGAGAAGATACGAGAGCAGGAGGAGATGATGCAGGAACAGGAAGAGAAGATGTGGGAGCAGGAGGAGAAGATGTGTGAGCAGGAAGAGAAGATGCAAGAACAGGAGGAGAAGATGCGGAGGCAGGAGGAGAAGATGTGGGAGCAGGAAGTGAGGCTGCGGCAGCAGGAGGAGAAGATGCAGGAACACTAGGTGAGGCTGCAGGAGCTGGAGGAGAGGCTGGGGAAGCTGGGGCAGAAGGCCGAGCTCTTGGGGGGAGCAGGCGGAGGTGTGTGCAAACCCTGGAGATCATACAGAACGACCTCACCACAACTTAGCAGATGGTGGTTGGCTCCCTCTGCTTTTCCACCAGTCTGTGGCCTACAGTTTAAATGGTGGGAAGAAGGGTGTGAGATTTGAGGCTGGGGAGGGAGGCATGGGCCTCTAGGCAAGGGAGGCAGTCATTTAGGCCTGGAGGAAGGGGCCAGGGCCAGGGGCCTGGGTAGGCGACAGAGCCCCGCAGTGCCCTCACTACCCTGTTTATGGGCCCAGAATCTGGAAGCCAGCCACTACCTACCCTGACGCCTATCCTGCAGGTGGAGCTGAAGAGCCAAGAGGCTGAGTCTGCAGCAGCAGCGAGACCATTACCTGGGTCACCTGCAGCAGTACGTGGCCGCCTATCAGCAGCTGGCCTCTGAGAAGGAGGCACTGCCCAGCTGCAGCAGCAGGAAGCTCAGGGCGAAGCGGTGGCCGAGATGGCCCACCAATAGTTGCAGGAGACCCGGTTGAGGGAGTTGATGAGGGCGGGGCCCCAAGGGGGATGATCTGGCAACCTCCGTGCCTTCTCACTCTCTTTCCTGGCCCCTTAGGAGCACCTGGAAGCTGCCATCTAATGAGCACATGACAAGAAGGCAAAGACAATAAACATGTAAAAGCCGGCAGCAAGGCCTGGAGAAGAGTAAGCCGCCATGTGACTGTTTAGAATATAGTCTGAGCACAAACCTGAAAAAAAAATTTTATTTATTTTAAATTGTGGCAAAATACTGGCCAGGCATGGTAGCTCACGCCTGTAATCCTAGCAATTTGGGAGGCCGAGGTAAATGGATGACCTGAGGTCAAGAGTTCAAGACCAGCCTGGCCAATACAAAAATTAGCCGGGCATGGTGGCGCATGCCTGTAATCCCAGCTACTTGGGAGGCTGAGGCAGGAGAATCGCTTGAACCTGGGAGGCAGAGGTTGCAGTGAGCTGAGATCGTGCCACTGCACTCAAGCCTGGTGACAGAGCGAAACTCCGTCTCAAAAAAAAAAGTTTCTTCCTTACATGTATGTTTCTATTAGTTTTCTTCTTGGTCTTTCTCATTTAGTCTTGTGTTGTCTTTTGACATTCATAGTAAACTTTTATCTGCCTCCAGAGAGTATTGACTTTGAGTTTATGGCACACAATTGGAGTAAGGGCAGATCGCCTTCATCTACTTTGGGACTAAGCTGGTTCAAAGCAGGTTTTAGGTTTTCTGATGGCTGGTCTATGTTTTATTCATTTGGACTCCCAGGGGTGGCCCTTCCAGGGTCCCCACCAAGGTCCCATCTCCTTCCTGGGACCCAAATTCTCATTAGGTCATTTCAGCCCTGTGAGAGTGCCAAACATTCAGCTAGGCTCTCCAGCCTCTTAACTACCACTTCATACTCAGTTTCTTAGCCTCTTAGCCCTCTACTGTTGACCAATCACCAAATGTGGGAAAGCACTACAGACTGTCAGGATCACCTCCTAGGCCTGGTCACTCAAGTCCTGACTGAGGTCTCCAATTACCTTCCAACAATTGTTTTTGATTGGGGGCGGGGCACATTTTTATCCAGTTTTTCTAACTGCTCTTGTGGGGAGGCGAATCCGTAACAAGCTCCTCTGCCTTTACTGAAAGTTGAAAACCTTCATCTGTCCTTTTTTTGTTGTTTTTGAGATGGAGTATTGCGCTGTTGCCCAGGCTCTAGTGCAATGGCACGATCTCTGCTCACTGTAACCTCTGCCTCCTGGGTTCAAGCAATTCTCCTGCCTCAGCTTCCCGAGTAGCGTGTGCCACCATGCCTGGCTAATTTTTTTTTATACCTTTAATAGAGGCAGGATTTCACCATGTTTTCCAGGCTGGTCTCGAGCTCCTGACTCAGGTGATCTACCTGCCTCAGCCTCCCAAAGTGCT